>NC_000004.12:152254714-152557744 GCF_000001405.40 Homo sapiens
CCTGGAGAATTGGCCTCTTTATCATTGCCCTTCTTTATCCCTGATAACTTTTCTTACTTTGAAGTGTGCTCTGTCTGAAATGAGCATAGCTATTTATGCTCTTTTGATTAGTGGTAACATGATATATTTTTCTCCATCCATTTATTTTTAACTGATTTGTCTTTATATTTAAAGTGGGTTTTTTGTAGACAATATATTGTTGGGTCTTGTTTTTTGATTGACTCTGACCATCTCTGTCCTTTAATTGGTTTATTTAGATGGTTGACATTCAAAGTGATTATTGATATAGTTGGGTTAATATGTTCCATATTTGTTACTGTTTTCTATTTGTTGCCCTTAGTTTTTTTTTTCCTATTTTTGCCTTCCAATCTTTTCTGCCTTTTTTTCATTTAAGTTGAACATTTTATATGATTCCATTTTCTCTCCTTTTTTAGTGGTTCTTTTTACTTTTTCCTTTTTACCTTTTTATTTTTTACTTTTTTTAATGGTTGCCTAGAATTTGCAATATACATTTACAACTAATCCAAATCCATTTTCAAATAGCACTATATCACTTCACAGGTGGTGTGAGTACCTTCTAATAAAAATAATTCTACAATTGATCTTAGCCAAAAGGCCGAGAAGCAATAATAATAAAAATAATTCTAATTTCTCCCTCCTGTACCCTGTATCATCTTTTACTTTTTAAAATGTGGCTACTGGAAATTTTAAATTACATATGTGGCTTGCATTTGCCACTAGCTGTATATTTGGACAGGATACACAACATGATATGTATTGGACAGTGTTGGTCTAGATGAGCTCGAATTGAGCGTTGACATTCCGTGCAGCTTGCAGACAGATTGAGTATTGACAGGAAGTGCCACTTGACTCAGTCTTAGAGAAAGGCTTTGGTCTGTGGCCAGAACCCAGGCAACTCCCAGCAGGAAGTCTCACCCACCCAGAGCAGGGGGAAGCTTCAGAGAGAAGAGGTGAACTCTGGAGAGCTAGGCCCTAGCACAACCTCAAACACTTTCTATAACAAATCTGGACAGTGTTTAGTCATTTAAAAAATCTTGAAGGTAGTTGTTTACCATCCCTGGAGCTTCTGTTAGATCGTCTTTGATCTCCTCTGGCCAGCATACACAAACTGATGGTTTTCTGGGCAATTTGACATTCCTGGAATGATACTTTTGAAGTGAGTTTTCTTTTTGCTGCAAAGACTTTATTTGGGGAACCATATTTGAGTGAGTGAAAATAGCAGTAAAAATGGTCAAATAGTAAAATAAATAGTAGTAAAAATAAATTTTATATTCCTCTCTTCCTCTTTTCCTCTATGAGTAAAAATAAATTTTTAAAAATCTCAGCTGTCTCTGCTAATTGTACTAAATAGGCCTAAAACAAATAGAAAAGCTTCCTAGAAAGTTGTCATAAACTTCAAGTCCCCGTGATTTTACCTTTTACTTTTGCTTTTTATTTATTGATACCTGTCAGGGCCCCTCCTACTTCATCCTGGCATTTCTCTTCTTTCCAGTCCCTGCTTATGACCTCTCTTCTTCTGCGACATCACTGGCTGCTGCTTCTCAGTCTTCTTTGCTGGTTCCTCCTTACTTCCCCATCATCCTGCCATTGGAGTGCCATAAGGCTCAGGACGTGGCTTCTCTTCTGTGTCACCACTCCCTAGGTGGCTTCCAGCAGTCTCAAGGCCTTCTCACACACCAGCATGTAAGTGACACCAGACTCTCATCCCCAGCTTGGACCTCTTCCACTAACCTCCATACTTATATCTCCAACTGCCTATTCCATACTATCACGTACATGGCTAATGAGCACCTCAAACTGAATAGTCCAAGCTCAACTCCTGGTCTTCCCCACTGATCTGCCCCTCCCAGAGTCCTGCCCCTGTCAGTGAATGGACACTGCATCCTCCCTGTTATCCAGGACAAAATCCTTGGAGTCGTCTTTGTCTTTTTTTCTCTCATATACCCTATATCCTCTCCATTAGCAAAGACTGTTGGCTGTTCCTCCAAATATATTGAGAATCTTACCACTTTCCACTGGCTTCACTGCCAGCACCCCGATGTGAGATGCCATCCCCTGTCCTCCGGAGGAAGCCGCCTCCCTGCGGGTCTCCTGCTTCCACCGCTTCCCGCTCAGAAGCTGCGCTCAACACAGCAGACACAGTGAGCCTTTTAAACTATAAATGAGATCAAGTCAGTCACCCCTCTGCTCATGCAGAGTAACACATTACAATGACCTAAAATGCCCTACACGATCTGACCACTGGCCTTGCTCTTTCTTCCTTCACAAAACATAGATCAAAATTTGACGCAGTAAATATTTCCTTTATTGTCTGTTTCTTCCCACTAGAATATAAGGTTCTTAAAGACAGGGGCTTTGCCTGTTTTTCTCAGGCTGAATTCTCAGCAGCTACAACAGCGCAAGTAGTTTTGAATAAGTTAATAAATGGGTAGTAGGTGTTCCATTCAGTGAGTAAAAGATGACTGAATGATGAAATGAATTAGTGCATGCCTACGTGGGGCTTTATTTACCTCCTTGAGAACCCAGAATGACACCTCTGTGCTTGTGCTAGTGTGGAGGGGGAGGGGGCATTTGTGGAAGTGTAGTGTGATTTTAATGCCCCCTCTTCTTTTCTCTCATCTATGCATTTATTCATGCAGCTGCTATTCACAGGTGTGGGCTTACACTGTGCTATGTACAGGGCCCATACTCATGGTTTTCCATGAGCTCCTCGGAAGACATGCAGACATATGACCTTAGAAGGGAGGCAGGTGCTGATGTCGAGGTGTTCCTGAGGAGCATGAAGTCTACATGAGGAAAGCATGAGAGGCCAGGAAACACTTCTCCCAGGGGTGGCAACTGAGCTGAGCCTTGAAAGATAAAGCGAAATTCTTCATGTGAGCAAAGATAAAACAGTATTCCAGAAAACAGCATTCTGGGAAACAGGAACAGAGACTAGAGACAGCATGCCACTTTTGAGGAACTGCGAGTCAGCAGGCATGCCAAAAATCCACACCAAGCATCAGCGTTCAGAGACACCAAGTGGGGGAGGTGGGCAAGGGAATGTCATGAAGGGCTTGTTCACCATGCTAATACATTGCTCACATTCTCTGAACAATATGAAGGATTAAGCAGATTAACACGATGAGGCAAGAAAACAGTAATACAATACAGATCAGTGAGTGCAAAATTTGAGCTATGCACGGGATTCTATGGAAAGATGGAGGGCAGGCAGTGCCTAAGTCAACATTCTAGCGGGCTGGGGCAGGAAGGAAGAAGGAAGTGACAAAGCATTGCCTAGGAGGGGACACAAAGGAGAAGCCAAGCTAGGTAGGCAGGAAAGACAAGGGCTTTCCTGGGAGAGGAACAGGAGGTTTCACAGGCAGAGCATGGGAGAATGCTGGGCACAGCTGAATGCCCACCAACCCCATTTTCTCACCACCCACATTAATATCCTTTCCTAAAACCTAAAAGGGCTGCCTAAATCCTTTTATTGTCCACAAATTCCATAATCCTACTTCTCCTTGATCTTCATTATAGAACCAAAGAATCACAATGCTAAGGAGCTGGAGGGCATCTTTGAGTGCATCTCGTCCGTGGCGTTCCACCTTCCCACTTAAGTGTCCTGAGCAGTCGGGGAAAGAACATTAACCCATTTTTTTGAAATTGCTTATTATATTCTTTAAGTGCAAAATTTGCATTCTGAGTCAAAATGTCAGTATTTGTTTTAATATAAAAATAAGTGTTTCCTAAAAATCTTCTAGTAAGATTGATCCTCCCCAGGAAGTTGAATCCATCTTTACCCACAGCCACCCAACCTCTAACCACATCCCCAGGTCTGTAGGCACCCTTGGGAAATCTCTGATTTTCAGATGAGGACACACAGGCCAGCAGAGAGGGTAGGCCATCTGCCCGAGGTCACACAGCTGGTTAGATGCAGAGTGAAGCCCAGAACCAGCCCGGGAAATCTCCTCAGACCCTCCCCCAACAGGGTGCCCCCCGCCCGCCCCCCGCCTGCCCTTCCTTCCTGTTCCTGCATTTCACTGACTGCTCTTCCTTTGCCCCATCTGGGGCTCCTGGGCCCCCTTGAGGGTTCCAAGGACTCTGAGGCAGAGGGGATAGAGTGGAGGGGACGCCCCATCAGGAGAGAAGGTCACAGAAGGCAGAGGCGCTGAGCAGCCCTGGCCCCACCCTCTCCTGCTGCAGCTTCTCATTCCTGCCTGGGAGGATGAGGCTCCAGCAGCATGAGATCAAAAGGTTTATGAGGCCTTTTCGGCTGTTCTTAATTAATTATACCTTTGCTTCCTGGAGGCACTTAGAACACATTTCTGAGAGTTTGGCTTAAAGCACAGAGGAGGAAACCCACAGTTCCAGTGCCTGTCCCAGAAGGCCTCCCACCATTCGTTTTCATCTGTGTTGAAGGTTTTGTGAGCACCTCCAGCAGGGCTCCTTGAGTGGACATGCCCGGACTTCACTCCCACAAAGGCGGAGAGTTGCTGTTTGGAAAAAGTCAGTCACTCTACAGTCCTCTGAGTCAGCCAAGTGCAGGAGAAAAAGCTAGGAAGCTTGTATTGTTTCTCTCCAAAACACAGCAAAGCTGACCTGGATCCACCCTTCATCTAAAACCTGTCAGTTATTCCCATTGTTCCCCGGATAAGGAAATCCCCCTGCCATGGACCATTAGGAGCTGAGTCAGCCCCAATCTTATCATTCCAGACTCCACCTGCACCCCTCTCCTTCCTCTGTCTACTCTAGCCACAGTGATGCCCTTTTCTCTCTTCCCCATGCCCCTCCCCCTGCCACAGGGCCTTTGCACCTGCCATATCCTCATCCTGGAAAGCTCTTTCCCCCACTTTTTGCCTAGTCTTACTCTTCTTCATCCCTCAGCTCTCAGCTCAAAATTTTCTTCCTCAGAGAAGCCTACCTGGACCTGGACCTCCCCAACAGTCAAACCTTT
This sequence comes from Homo sapiens, assembly GCF_000001405.40. NCBI lineage: Eukaryota > Metazoa > Chordata > Mammalia > Primates > Hominidae > Homo > Homo sapiens. The sequence goes on from NC_000004.12 coordinate 152,259,672, forward strand.
CCTTCTAGGTTCTCAGAGCACCAGACGTCTTTCTTCACACTTATCATAGTCACAAATTTACATTTGTGTGTTTGAGTACTTGATTACTATTTATCCCTCCCACAGGCTGTATGATCCCCAAGGGCAGAGTCCACATAAGGATTTGCTCAATCTCATATCCTCATCACCTAACATACCTAGCACATAATCAATGCTTTAAAATGTTTAAATAAAAAAAATTAAATAAAAAAACAAATGAATGAATAGTACATTTAGTAAGTTCAAAGTATGAGTTACTGCATGAATGAACATGCCTGGAATTTTTTATAAAGGTCTTCAGGACTCAGGATTTGATCCTTGAGCCTGCACATCTGTTGGCAGGCACTGACTGTAGGTGAGTAATACTTAGCCACGTTACCTCTCATTACTCATAATTGAGTTATCCATGTCTCTTATATGCCTGTTGTGGGTTAGTTCTCTGTTATACACCCTCTTGGCTGCCCTCTTTCCCTCATTATCCTCCTCTGTTCCAGTCATCAGAAAATCCTGCCAACTCCACTCCAAGATATATCAAATTCCATCAGATATACAAAAACTCAAAGAGTTTATCACCAACAAACTATGATAAAGAGAATTTTTAAAAATATTCTTTTGGAAGAAGGAAAATTATCTCAGAGGGAAAAACTAAGATGCAAGATGAAAAATAAGCCAAAGCATCAAAAAGAATAAAATACTTAGAAATAAATTTAACCAAGAAGGCTAAAGACATGTACACTGAAAATGATAAAACACTGATGAAAGAAATTGAAGACATGGTAAATGGAATAATATCCATGTTCATGGATTGAAAAAATTAATATTGTTAAATTAAATTGCCCATATTACCCAAATTGATCTATAGATTCAATTCAGTTCCTATTAAAATTCCAGTGACATTTTTCACAGAAATAGAAAAAACAATCCTAAAATTTGTACGGAATCACAGAAAACCCTACATAGTTAAAATCTTGAGCAAGAAGAACAAAGCTGGAAGCATCACACTTCCTGATTCCAAATTATGTTACAAAGTTATAGTAATCAAAACAGTATGGTACTGGCATAAAAACAGATACATAGACCAATGGAATAGAACAGAAAGCCCAGAAATAAACCCATCCATATACAGTCAACTAATCTTCAACAAAGGCACCAATAATGCACAATGGGTAAAGGATGGTCTCTTCAATAAGTGGTATTGGGAAAACCAACTTTCTACATAGCAAAAAAAACAAAAACAAAAACAAAAAAAAACCCATAGTTTGATCCTTATCTTACATCATACATACAAATAAAGTCCAAATTGACTAAGACTTAAACGTAAGATCTGAAACTGTAAAACTCCCAGGATGAAATATAGGGAAAAATGTTTATGGCATTTGTCTTGGCAATGATATTTTTGGATATGACCAAAAAAAGCATAGGCAACAAAAGCAAAAATAAATGAAGTTAACTACATCAAACTAAAAAGTTTTTGCACGACAAAGAAAACAATTGACAAATTGAAAACACAATCTATGGAATAGAAGAAAATATTTGTAAACCATGTATTAAAGAAGTTAATATACAAAATATATAAGGAAGCTATACAACTCAATAGTGAAAAGAAAAAAACCCCAAACACACAGACACACACACACACACACACAAATAACTGGGATAACAGTGAACAAAGGATCTGAATTGACACTTTTCTAAAGAAGACATACAAATGGCCAACAGGTATATATAAAAAGAAGCTTAACATCACTAATCATCAGGGAAATGCAAATAAATACCACCATAAGATATCAGCTCACACCTGTTAGGATGTCTTTTAAAACATCAAAAGATAACAGCTGTTGTGACAATATGGAGAAACCCTTCCACGCCATTGGTAATAATGTATATTGGTACAGCCATTACAGAAAACAGTATGTAGCTTCCTCAAAAAATTAAATATATAACTACCATATAGTTCAGCAGCTTTGCTTGGGATAGCTACACTCCCATGTCTATGGCAATATTACTCAAAATAGCCAAAATATGGGAAAAAAACCTATGTGTCTGTCACCAGCTAAATGGATAAAGAAGATGTGATTGATACACACACACAGAGGAGGAATGTTATTCAGCCTTAAAAAAGAAAAGAATCTTGCTATTTGTGACAACACGGATGAACCTGGAGGACATAATGCTAAGCCAGACACAGAAAGATAAATGTCGTATAATCTCACATATATTTGGTATCTAAAAAAGTCAACATCACAGAAACAAAGAGTAGAAGGATGGTTACCAGGGGCCGCAGGGTGGGGGAAATGGGGAGATGTGACCAAAAGGATAAACCTGCAGTTGCAAGAAAGCTCGAAAAAGTCCTGGAGCCCTAATGTACTGTATGGTGACCATAGTTAAAAAGGATGTATTATATACTTGAAATTTGCTAAGACTCATCTTAAGTATTCCCCACACACACATACACAAAGGCAACTATGTGAGGTGAGGAAAATGTTAATTAGCTTGATTGTGGTAATCATTTCACAATTTATACATATATCAAAACATCACATTGCATACCTTAAATATATACAATTTGTATTTGTCAATTATACCTTAATAAAGCTGAGGAGTAAAAAATAAGAAGAAATGTAAGCTAAGAATAGGCAAATATGCAGCTAAATCTAAATGAATACTTGTAGGAAGTTACAATAACAATGCATAATTTTAGAGATTTTTTTTAAAGCAGTCAAAAATAACATATAAGATGGGAGGGGTAGTCAGACTTAAATGTGCTAAAAGTTTATGAAAAGAGTAGAGATACTAAGTAACTTTAGGCTTTGTTAAGTACAATTAAACTTTAAAGGGTAACCAATAAAAAAAAGAAAATCGAGTTTATCTTTTCCAAAAAGTAATGGGGAAAATTACTTTTCCCTATAATTATATAAAAAAATTTCAATCTCAAAAAGACAAGAAACAAAGAAAAAAGTATTAAAAAGTCAAGTAAATAGCACAAGATGGTATAAATAAGTTAAAATACATGAACAATCACAATAAATGTAAATGGACTAAAGTTAACAGTTACAGATTGTCAAATTCTAACATCCAGCTATATGCTATTTATAAGAGACATCTAAAATATAAGAAGTGGAAAGATTGAAAGTCACCTATTTAAAAAGCATATTATGGAAATATTAACCCCCCAAATAATATATATTTATATTAATATAGATAAAATCAACTTTAAGCTTTTTAAATATTAGTAAGTCACTAAATAATGATAAAAATATTAAATTCACTAGGAAGAGATCACTTGAATCTTGCCCAAACTAGTAACATAGCATCAAATATACAAATCAAATTTGGTAGAATTACAAGGAATAACTGACCAATCCACAAACATAGTGGGAGTTTCTCTGTGAAACTGATATAGCAAGCAGACAAAAAATCAATACAGATATAGAAGATTTGACAACACAATTAACAGCACGGCTTGATTAATGGACACATACAGAGCCCTAAAACCAAAAGAAGGATCAAAAACCATATGTATGAAATTCATTGTAGAACATAAGTGAAACATGCAAATATGAGTAAAACTGACCTCATAATAGAGGGCAAGAAACAAGTCTCAACATATTTCAAAGAATCTGTATATACACAGACCATATTCTATAACTAAATGCAATTAGCTGAAAAATAAATGATAGAAAGATAAACTTTTAAAAACATTTATCTTAATACAAAAAATTAGCCGGGCGCGGTGGCGGGCGCCTGTAGTCCCAGCTACTCGGGAGGCTGAGGCAGGAGAATGGCGTGAACCCGGGAAGCGGAGCTTGCAATGAGCCGAGATTGCGCCACTGCAGTCCGCAGTCCGGCCTGGGCGACAGAGCGAGACTCCGTCTCAAAAAAAAAAAAAAAAAAAAAAAACATTTATCTTAAAATTAAAAGCATATCTCTAGGTTATTCATATGTTAACATAAAATAATAATGCAACTGTAATGAAATCATTATGAACTTTAATGATAATATTACATGTCAAAACTTACAGAATGTGGATAGTGGTACTTAGAGGGATTTTGTAGCCTCAGGTCTCATCGAAGCTTTCCTTCATTTTTCCAATTACACAGTTCATTGATTTACATATTCATTCAATAAATGTTTAATCTGGCATTGTGGAAGTCATATGGTTGGAGGCTGTAGTAGTCGCTAATAGCTCCAAAATGGAAATCCTGAGCTAACCTAGTCCATTTTCCAATTGTTGATTTACAAGAGCTGTCCAGGGCAGCTCATAGATTCTCTTGCAATGGAGACATCACAGGCTATACATTTCCCATTGCCAATAGTCAAAGGCATTGACAATAGTCTCATGCTCAAAGGGACAACAGATATAGGAATTCTTCAACCCAAAATGTGATACACAGCATTCCTGGATATTTTCTTATCTACTTGACTTTCCACCTCAAATACTCTCTCTCTCTCTCTCTCGGAGAGGAATCTTACTATATTGCCCAGGCAGAAGTGTAGTAGCTATTCATAGCCGCAATCCCACCACTCATCACCACAGGAGTTTTCACCTGCTCTGTTTCTTACCTTAACTGGTTCACCCCTCCTTAGGCAACATGCTGGTGCCCTGCTCCCAGGAAGTCACCATGTTTGATGCTTGACTCAATGTGGACACTTGATCTGCATAACGCACTACAGCCCAGACCTCCTGGACTCCCGCGATTTTCCTGCCTCAGCCTCATGAGTAGCTGGGACTACAGGGGCCACCACCATGCCTGGCCCATTCTCTCTTTTGATGGGAAAGGTTTTCTCTTCATTGGAAAGTGGAAAGTCTCATAGGACTAAAAGGATATATATATGTCTTCACATCTAGCAGCTATTTCAATGATAGCATAAGAGACACAAGAGGAAACAAAACATCTTCGGTTTCCCTGGAGCAAATTTCAAATGGACATGTAAGGACAACAGCCACCAAAGTTTCCTCAGATTTGCAGTGACAGAATGATAGGATACAATTAGCAATGGTGATGAGGTTGCTTCTAAAGAGCTAAGCAGAGCATATTTGCTTTTCCTGTTGATGTGTCATTATTTTAAAAAAATTTATCAACCTCTACGACAGAATCACCATAGGCTCACTCTTTAGTCCATTTCCTTTTATCTTTTGGGGTTGTCCCAGGTTACTAGTTACTTGTCAAGTAAATCACGTTCTGTATTTCTCACCATCAGTTGTCTAAGTCCCATGTTGGAAAGGATCTCCCTAATTTTATTTTCTGGATATCAAAGGCTGTCACTCATCTCTCAATGGCAGCGACAAGTTTTGAGGATATATAGTAGTAGCTAGATTTTAAGGCAAAAACCTTTATCCAAGCATGTGTTTGTTTTGCAACATAATACTTGCTGTACTTTATTTATTAGATTTCTTCATTATGTAAGACATTTTAATTACAAAGCTATCATAGATTACATTAGCTATGGCTCTTCTTCTTACGGTTAAAAATAACGTGCATGACGCAGCTGGCTTTATAGAAGCTGTATCTGGGCAGATAACTGTGAGTGTGTCACTGTCGATGCAAACTAGGAAAGATAAATACTGCTGCTAATCATTGGAACCCGCTGTGTAGCTATTATAGTTTGTTCAAGTTAAAACAGTGGCGATGAGTCAGACTGTTTCTCCCTCCGGCTTTAGAAAACTCGTATATTTAACCAAGATAGATTTACACGTGAGGTTGTGCGTGACGAGGTTGCTACGAATGCCTCATCCAGGACTAAGTTCCAAGACAGGGCACTGGAAAGCACGAGATACAAGCAAAAGTAGGTTGCACAAGTTCTCTTCCTCAAGAGCCTCCTCTCTCCAAAGCTTTTCTGCTGTTTATTCCACATGTTGGTCTTTGTTTCCAGGGGAAATTGATTGATGACTGGCTTCAAACAACGTGCACAATTTATGGATATGGAAAATGCATGTACTATCTACACACGCTGGTTCTTTATAGATGGTCTTTAGGGCAAGTCTGAGATGCCTGGATAATGTACAAACCAGCATTAACAAATCTCTGCAGAGAAGACACTACCTATCTCTTCCTCTTGAGATTAGATAAAAAGCAACCTTTTAAATGCCTGCTTTAAAGACCATGACTGCACACTTTATATTTTCCCTTTGGTTGTCCCTAATAGTGAATGTCCTGAGCTAGTCTTTAATACAAACTTCAGATATAAAGCCCCAACCCTGGAAGAAACCAGTGGCACTATTCTTCAAAATAGCACTTATGGAATTTTTTTTTCCAGGCTACAAAAGTAATAACTGTTCATTGCAGAAATACTGTTAAAAACAGAAAAGTAGGAAGAGAAAATAAAAGTCACCCATGATCTGCCCATTGAGAAATTACTCACCATACCCTCTCATTCTTTTTTCCTGGGAATTCATAGTTTCATAAGATTAGATCATATATATATATATATATATATATGATATATACATATATCGTGTGTGTGTGTTTGTGTATAATATGACCTGCAGGTGTTCATTTAGTATATCATAACCATTTTCTCTCATATTACAACATATTACCCTGAAATAGACTTTTTGATAGCTATATGGTATTACATTCTATGAATGTACCATAATTTTCTAAACCAGCCCCCTATTGTTGAACATATAGATTGTTTTCAATATTTACTATTATAAATCCTAAGATCATGCACATCCTTGTACATAAGAACCATCTTTGCATTCTTGGCTACGTGTATCAATTATTTAATATACCATTGAATTAAATTTGTCAGCACTATATTTTATTTATAATTTTTTCATCTATTAGTGGGCTTTTTCTAAAACCTGTAAGAAATGCATGCAAGCAAAAATCACTGTGTCCCATGTTAAAGAGAGGGCCAGGTGTGGTGGTTCACACCTGTAATCCCAGCACTTTGGGAGGCCGAGGTGGGTGGATCACTTGAGGCCAGGAGTTCAAGACAAGCCTGGCCAACATGGTGAAACACCGCCTCTACTAACAATACAAAAATTAGCCAGGTGCAGTGGTGGGCACCTGTAATCCCAGCTACTCAGGGGACTGAGGCAGGAGAATCAGTTGAACCCAGGAGGCAGAGGCTGCAGTGAACTGAGATCGCACCACTGCACACTCCAGCCTGGGTGACCGAGTGAGACTTGGTCTAAAACAAACAAACAAACAAAACAAGAGAGAGAATTGTCTTGGGAAAGGCAATCAGAATCAGCAGCAGCTGATGCTATATGGGAACAGCCTTGGTACCACGGCTATTTAATACTGGGTTTGCTACAGGTCCTCTGAAGAATGCAAAACCAAAGTTATTCAATTGGCGTTGGAATTAGAGCAACTGTTCTATTATTGTGTGCAAACTTCTGCTATAAATAACCTGACAGTATCCATCTGCATGGGATGCAAAAAAACAAGAAACATGCAAAGTAAAGACCAAAATAGACCTGGGGTTCATCTGGTATACCCTTTCCATGGGGCCCCAAACAGATGGTGCAAATTCCCAAGATATACCTGCCTAATGGCATTGTCCTATCTCAGAGCGGGGGAATGAGGGGATTCCTTTCAGCAAATGGCCTAGCCAGAAAGGAAAGGGAAGTGAGTCACTGAGATTCATCATTTTATTCAACAAATAATTATTTGGGCACTAGACATGTTCCAGGCACTGTTCTAGACCCTAGGAATACAACAGTAAGCAAGAAAGACAAATTCCCTGAACACAGTGAATGGCCCAGAAATGGCTACTATTTTCCAGCACTATTTTGTCTGTTTTTCCTTCCCTATCCCCATCTAGACTTTTTCTTTTCTCCCAATTGCATTACTCATGCCAAGTGGCCTGCCTTCTACTGACTTCTTTCCCTAGGCCATTTTGCAACAGACAGTCAAAGTTCAGGAACCTGCAAAGTCTTCAGTTTCATTCCTCACCCACTAGCTGCCCTGGAGGTCAGGAGCTATGAGCTTTTCACCTTTGGTGCCCAGTGTGATGCCCAGCATCCAGAAAGTGTTCAATAAACAATAAACTGAAGAAGGTTTTAGACTTTTAAAGAAAGGGACCCACCATCTCTGAAGAAGCTCTGCAGAAACTGGCATTGTCTCCTCTCCCTGATCTCTTCCCAGAAGGCTAGAAAATCTAATAAAAATCTCCTTAGGAGGTCTGGTGGAGAATATAATGTGTCATTTCAGGTAGACACTGAAGCATATTTACTATAGATTAAACTTGGAGGGGCTCTTTCTTATGGGCCTCGCTAGCATTTGTCAACTGTGAGCATAGAGATGGAGATATATATAGACAGACAGGTAGATATATATAGATAGGCCGGTACATAGAGATAGATGGATGATAGAGGAAGTGGAAACTGGCAGGGAACACCATGTGTCACCGGCAGAAAAGAGATGAAAGATGAAAAGTAAGACTGATTATAGCCCAAAGCACCAAAGTTCTGAGTGATCCACAAAGAGGTGAGACTCATCCAGAGACCCAGGAATTAGCAGTATCCAGTAGACAGAGCAGGGCTTTAAAGGTTTTTAAAAAGCAAGGGTGCCTCACTTTTATTGCTTGCAGCTAGGGAGAAAAAAAGCAGGATGGCTTGTGAATGCTTTCAGTTAAGGGAAATAAAGACATACACCCATATGCACAGAGATTTGAGTCACACTCACCAAAACATAACGGTGGCTTCAGGTCACCCACTTCCAACCAAATCTAAGCCCCGGATAAGTCTCAGGATATGTCCCCTACAAGAACGTTGCCTCAATTCCTGCAAGAAAAAGAGAGCAGATCCAAGATCCTTCTAGAGGGTGGGTCCCAGAGCTTTGCAAGAAAGGTTTGGAGAATGATGACTTTGAAGATGGGGGCTCTGCCCTTCTTTATCCACAGCCTGAGCTCGGCATGCTATTTTTCCTTAAAGGCCCTGCAGTGAGAAGGTGCTATGGGTGGGAATGAAGCTACTACTGGAGGTCCTAAAAGGTAAATAAAGATGATGGAAAAATGGGGGTGGACCCAACAGTCCATAGGCTTGGTCCAACATCTCTGAGCTTCCTGACAAGTCTTGACTCACAAGAAAAGAAGCCAAGTAACTGATAATAAGCTCAATTCTGAATGTGGTCCTTAATCCAGCCCAACCATCAGTGCCAAGAGGGTTAAAATCAAGTAGAAAACTTACCACCTTCCAGAAATAGAAGAAACAAAAAACACATTGCAAGAAACATCCAGTTAAGTTTGCCTCTTCTTGTAAAAAGGCTTGATATGGGTTCTTGGCTACTCCTGCTTTCCCATCCTCCTTTTATAAAGTCCACTTCCAAATATTCTGTGTTAGACACAGTTGGACTAAGAGTCAGGGGGAAGGACCAGGAATGGTGGCTCATGCCAGTAATCTCAGCGATTCGGGAGGGCAAGGAAGGAGGATCATTTGAAGCCAGGAGTTTGAGACCAGTCTGGGAAACATAGCGAGACCCCGTCCCTACTAAAAATTTCAAAATTAGCCAGGTGTGGCAACACATGCCTATAGTTCCAGCTATTTGGGAGGCTGAGGTGGGAGGATCATTTGAACCAAGCAGTGGAGATTGAGTCACTGCACTCTAGTCTGAGTGACAAAGCAAGACCTTGTCTCTTAAAAAAAAAAAAAAAAAAAAAAAAAAAACGGTCAAGGGATGTGGAATAAAATATGTCCCAAACATCTTCCCAGTAATTTTTATTCCTAGGAAACTCTATGGCCAACACGGAGTCCATGTAAATAAAGCTCATGCCAGGGGGAAAGTTCCCCTTTGGAAGCCGAGTTCCCTTTCTCTCTCCCTGAGATTAATAGGAGCCATGCCCTGATAACTAGAGAAGAATAAGCTACTAAATGAGCCCAGAGAGACAGACACAAAATGGTTATTTAATGTGAGCTGTTGTCACCATGTGCAGAAGACATCAGAACCCATTTCCATTCACCCCCTGCACAAACACTATTTCAATGGCCTTATTGTGGGGAATCACCGCAAGTGTCAATCCTGCCATTTCACCTCTGAAATTAACAAGGCTTTCTGGAGGCTGCCTCCCCTCACCTGTCAAAACCATAACTCTGCTGAGCACAAAGCCCTTCCAAGGTGGGAAAGCTATGATGTCAGACCCAGGCCCGTTCAGCTCAATGAATACTGGGGTATGCTGTCAGGTCTAAATATATTCTTTTATGAAAATAGCTTCATCCTTTCCTTGGCAAGTAGATATTGGCCTATATTTTTAATCCGTGTGTGGGTGTGTATACAGCATGGTTATGCAGTCGTTTCCTCTCTCAAGGGTGAGCCTGGGAACAGCGTGACTCTGCGTGTGAAGGCAGAATCCGATCTATGTCCCCAGGTCTGTTCCACACGGGTATTTGAGTGAGCTCTCACATGGGCTTCTGTTGCTGGGCTCCTGTGAAATATCTGGCCTTGAACTAGGGACTCTGAGATTGACTTTGTGAGTTTCAGTCAATTCTGGCTTGCAAGTAGCTCACCTACTCACGGAAAATGAGGAAGAGAGGAGGATATACTCACTACCCACAGGGTTAAACTGGGATGACTTTCCTGAAGGAAATGATACACTGATCTGTAGTATAAGATTTGTGAATGTGATTAAAGATTTATTGATCGAGTGCTAGGTGTATTCATGCTAGGTCTGTTCCACACGGGTATTTGAGTGAGCTCTCACATGGGCTTCTGTTTAATCCTCATTTAATCCTCACACAGCAACCCTGGGAGGTAGGTTATTACAAGTTCCATCTTTGTAGATGGGAGAGCTCAAGCTCAGAGAGGCTACATGCCTTGCTCAGAGTCACCCAGATAGTAGATGGCTTCACTGGAACTCAAGTCCAGGACTCCAACTCCTGTTCTCAGTAGTACTGGTCATTGACTAATGCACAGCCCAGCCATGCAGTGTCCGAGAGCTTCCGCTGGTGAAAAGGAGGCAAGCTGGTCTCAAGGATGAGGCTGGCACGGGGCAATGGCTGGCGGAAACCAACCCGGGCAGATGGTAAATCACTTTTTCTTAGGAAGACACCAGCAGTCTCCTACATGGAGTACAATTCAGGATCCCACAATGTCCAAGGTAGTCAATATAGAACCCACTGTGAATACTTCTAGATGCTGATGGTTCTCCATGAACAATGGGACTATGGTCCTCTGCAAGCAGCAGTTGGGGGTGTCCATTCAAGCTAAGCACAAAGGGTATCAGAAGTCCCCAGAGCTTGGGGAAAGGAGGATTCAGGAACAAGGTGAGAGGATGGGCTTCTCAGCCCAAGGGCTGGAGCTCACATAGGCTCAATTTCCCACGTGCAGATGGAGGAAAAACCACGCTCCATGGAATTCAGCCCCAGGCTCTTGTTTATTTCTTTTTCAGACCCACTGCAACCTACCTGTGTTGGGCATGCGAAGTAGCAGCAGACAACATGCCAGCTCTGGCTAACCGCTCCTGACCACTCCCCAGGTGTATCTCACCCATTGCTCCCTGCATTGTCCTCCTGAATCCACACTCCTGGTTTCAGTGGCTGCCTTAGGCCCCTTTGCCTCAGAAGCCACTGGACTCCCCTCTTCTCCTTCCTGAGCCATAGATTCCCCACCTGGTTCTTGCTCTGCTGCAACTCCTGACCTCAGTCTCCTGTTGTCATCAACCATTTCAAACTGGAATGCCAAAATGGGAAAGAGTGAATTATTTTCCTGGCCTGACCCAAAATATCAAACCTAGAACTGCAGTCAGTGGGAATATCTATGGTTCCATGTCCAGTGGGAAATTCTCTGGAATTATCTGATGGGCTTTAGAGTAACTAAGGGAGTTAATAACTAAAAGAGTTCTAGCAGGCTTAAATGTTTGAAAGGACAGAGTGGAATATTGCAGCTTACAATGCATGCCCCAACTTCAGGGACAAAGTAAAGTGACATGATGGATGTATTTTTATAGGCAGTTAGGTTGAATTTGATTTAATGAAGTTTGAGGGGAAGGAGCACAATGTCATTGCTTGAGTTTTGGTTCAAGTATGAGATATGTAAATGCTTGATTTGATAATGCTTCCTATGATTTTGTTCTTCTTGACTCGTTGTACTGAAAACCACCGCTAAACCAAAGGAGTGAGACGCACTGAAGGGAGATGGGGAGTCCCCAGTCACAGTGAAGTGGGCTTGATTTACAGATGCTGCTGGGCAAGAAGCCTGGAAGAGCTGCAGATGTCAGCAAGCCCCTCCTGGAGAGATCCCAGAGAACCGAGGCACAGAAACACCCCTACCGGAGAGGTTGCCCCTGCATGTTCTGTAATGAGACGATGATCAGGGAAATAATACGCAGGGGGCTGGGTGCAGTGGCTCATACCTGTAATCCTAGTACTTTGGGAGGCCGAAGTGGGCGGATCACAAGGTCAGGAGTTTGAGACCAGCCTGGCTACATGGTGAAACCCCGACTCTACTTAAAAACATACAAAAATTAGCCGGGCATGGTGGTGTGCACCTGTAATCCCAGCTACACGGGAGGCTGAGGCAGGAGAATTGCTTGAACCTGGGAGGCTGAGGTTGCACTGAGCCGAGATCACGCCACTGCACTCCAGCCTGGCAACAGAGTGAGACTCCATCTCTAAATAAATAAATAATAATAAGCAGGGGCAAGACAATAGTGGAACCAAGACCCTGTCAGAGAAGTGCTGAGGGGCCCTCAGCAGTCCAGGGAGTCTGTGGGTGGAAGCCCTTTCTAAGGACACAGTGTCTCCAGCTTCCCCCTTTAGGGGAAGGGCATGGGAGAGCACAGAGTGGCCTGCACAGAACTCTGCAGGCTCCAGTTGCCTCCTGTCCAGGTCCCAGACTCTGTATGTTTCTTCCCAGCAGCCATGTGAGAGCCAAACTCCAAAACAGCATTCGTGAACTTACCTGGTCCTGTCTACACTGAGCTCTCACTCCTTTCTGGAATGTAAGAACAGAGATTGGTTTGCCCTGGGACTTCCTGCTGGTTTTTTTCTACCACCCTTGAGGGCCTGCCCCTTGGCGACAGCAGGCATGGGCAGGGGTTTCTATGCTACACAGAGCTGTGTGTGAGAGCCTACTTAGAGCTAAAGGGAAAAAAGATGCCCTACCCATAGGAAACTCACAGTTTAGTTTCCCAGAATTTTCTTTTATGGTCTTTTCCTTCCAGAATCATTTTATAATATCTTCCCCAATATTTCTGTAAGGAGTTTAGTTGCCGTGGCATCAAGTCTATACATCAATCTGGGCAGAATGAACAACTTTTCAACACCCAGTTGTCTGATCTAAGGGCAAGGTGCCTGGCCACTACTCCTCAGGTTTTCTTTTCCCTTTTATAAAGTCTGTAATTTTTGGCCCAGCACGGTGGCTCACGCCTGTAATCCCAGCACTTTGGGAGGCTGAGGCGGGCGGATCACGAGGTCAGGAGATCGAGACCATCCTGGCTAAAACAGTGAAACCCCGTCTCTACTAAAAATATAAAAAATCAGCCGGGCGTGGTGGTGGGCGCCTGTAGTCCCAATTACTCCGGAGGCTGACGCAGGAGAATGGCGTGAACCCGGGAGGCGGAGCTTGCAGTGAGCCGAGATCGCGCCACTGCACTCCAGCCTGGGCGACAGAGCAAGACTCCGTCTCAAAAAAAAAAAAAAAAAAAAAAGTCTGTACTTTTTCTTCATATAGGGCACACACATTTCTCTAGAGAGAGGTTTTTCTAGATAATGCTCTGTTAATTATTTAATTCATTCAACAAGGAATTTAGTAGTCATGAGAAATATGCCTTCTGTCTTTGCCTTCAGGTTAATAGGGAAGATACAAACTTAAGCAGTAATTGGTCATTCCAACGAACAAGTTAAGTATGGGCTTCTCTGGAAAACATACCCTGAGGGGCCCTCAGCAGTCCAAGAAGTCTGTGGGTGGAAGCCCTTTCTGAGGACACAGTGTCTCCAGTTTCATCTGAGTAATAGGTAGGAGAACAAAGGCAGTGCCAGGCCTGACACTTTTGCTTGTTTGTCTCTTATATTTTTCCTAACTGAATAATCCAAGTACACAGGGATACTATTGACTTTTGTAATGCTTTATTTTACCTGGATTTTGTATGAAATGACTTTATTAATTCTAATTGCTTTTTAGTTAATTCCTTTGGGTTTTCCAGGTTAAAAAAAATCATAACTATATACAAACATAATCTTTTTGAAGGTGATTTATAATTTTAATTTTTTCTGCCCCTTGGGGCAAGAATTTGAAAAGTTTATTTTTTGCTGAATGATGTGGCATTTCCTTCCATTTATCCTAAGTGCACCTCAGTGAAACCTCATGTGTTACCCATGAGTTCTGGTGTTCCATAATGTGGTAAGCAGGCCCTTGTTCACCCTTATACCTTTCATGGAATAATTCACTCACAAACCAAAAGCAAAGCACATGTTATGAATAAGCTGGAAGTCTCCCCCTTCTTTTTTCATCAGGAGAATCCAAAAGAATATAATCCAAGTGGGTGCCATCCCTCCTGGGTACCATTGAGAGAGCCATTTGATTGTCAATGTGTGACTCTTGTAATGTAACACAATAGGAGATTCAAGGAAAAGCCAAATGCTTCTTAGCACAATAATGTCAGGGGCTAATGTTAGGAAAAGGGCAAGAACAAAGCTTTCCTAATAGGGGCAATACTGTTCCTTCATCCAAGTTAAGACTGTGTCATCTCCAAGACAAGTTAGACCTTGCCTAGGTGAGATGTGTTTACCTCTTAGGTAAACTAGGGAAGAAGCAGCCACTGCAGATAGAATTAGCATTGCACATCCTCCATCATTCTCACTCATGCTGCAACATCCCTGGAGTTACCTTAAATCAGAACTTCTTAATACAGCATATAAAACATTGTCTTTAATTATTTGATCACTCTGAGTTGAAATTTTTATTTTTCTTTACTTCTTTTTTTTTTTTTTTTTTGAGTCAGGCTCTTGCTCTGTCATCCAGGCCGAAGTGCAATGCTGCAATCATGGTTCACTGCAGCCTCCACCTCTCGGGCTCAAGCGATCCTCTTGCCTCAGGCTCCTAAGCAGCTGAAACTACAGGCACATGTCACCACACCCAGCTAGTGTTTGTATTTTTTGTAGAGACGGGGTTTCACCATGTTGTCCAGGCTGATCTCAAACTCCTGGGCTCAACAATCTGCCTGCCTCAGCCACCCAAAGTGGTGGGATTACAGGCATGAACCATACTGCCCGGCCTAGGAGATTTTTCTTATTTGCAGCCCAAAGCACCCTGACAGATAGAGGAGGTAAGGGACTTGCCTGAGGTCACACAGCTAGTAAGCCATAGAGCATAGATAAAATTCAATGTTTGTGGGATGACAAATGTCCAGTTCCATCTATCTCTTGTGGGATGACAAATGTCATCCCACAAACTTTCTATTCTGCTACGATGTACAACAACATGAAGAGTGATTTCACAGATTTCCTTAGATCCTTCCCCACAGAAGCATCTCTCTGTTAGTCAGGCATCTGTCAACATTCTAATACTAAAACAAGATTCCATGAAAATTATTTTTTTAAAAATGCAAAACAAATCTTCTTTTCTCCCCTCACAGTGTTTTTCCTCTCGGAAGCATCACAACTGCTTCTTATTCTGTGCTTAGTGTCAAGATAACAGGATTTAATTACCAAATTTATAAACCACCAGTATGGCATAAATGCATTGGCCTCAAATAAAATGAATGCAGTTATTAAAAAAAGAAAAGAAATGCTGCATCAATACAGTGACAGCGGACACAGAGATGGCAGTTTTATTTACTTTATCTCTTGCAGGAAGCAGTTAAGCCATTTCAAAGAGATTATTGGGTTTTAATGACCCAGGACATTAAAAGACGTCTCTCCCAGCAACATTGACACTGTACCTCAGGTGCAGGAGGTTATAAATCCACGAAATAATGGCCTATTTTGGCAACCCCTCCCCACTTGCTCCCAACAGTGGACCCGATCATGACCTTTCTTCAGTTAGCAAGGGCCACTGGCTGGGGGTGTCACTGGAGAATTCTCTGTGTCCTCTCAATAGGCCTGGGGGAGCTTTCTAGATTGGGACTCAGCAGCAGCTTTTAGGATCCACAATGAAAACCACCGGTGGGGCAGTGCTCTGTCTCCAAATGACAGGAGGAGAAGGAAAAGAAAGAACAGGAAAGAGGAGAAAAGGTAAGAAAAAAAAGCAAGGAAAAGAGACCACCAAGTGCGGTGCTCAAGAATTCTACCAACAAAGCCCAGCAGCCACCATTCCAGGGCCTCGAATGGTCTTACCGAGTCCAAGTTCCAAGGACCAGAGTCTCCTCTGGTTCCCCTGGAGCGGATGGGCATCTAGAGATCAGGTCAGAAGTGGATCCTGAACTTGCCCATCGGATTTCCTAGGGCTCTAAGAGAATCACTGGCAGAGAACACATTGTCTTCACCAAAGCAGCTTCCCTTTGATTTGTTTTATACTTTAGACTTTCATAAAATATTTCATTTGAAGAGAAGGGTCCATACTTTTTAAAAAGTTTGAAAACTAGAGATGTAGGTCGTCATCTTTGTTTTTCAAAGACTGATGACCACAGGGAGGAAGTTAAGGTCGGGAGAAGAGATAGATGGAACTGGAACAGGTCGCCACCATTCCCAGGCAGCTCCTGGATTCTTCTTGATGGAATGCCAGCACTTGAACGGGTGTTTTTTTGAGATTCTAACCTCTCCAGTGACAACCATGCTATCCAGTAGCTACGCCCTGTCCAGGCAAACAAGAAAACATAGAAGTGATCTCCTCTCCTCTTTCCAGGTGCTCTCTCTTGGATTCACAAAATAAAGATCCAGTCATTCACATGGTATTTCCAATACTCTGCCATTAATTTGCTATTCCCAATACAGTGAGAATTGGCCAGGTCTTTTAATGCTTCACAGGCTCCTGAAGTTCTGTGCAAGAACCCTCCTCTAGAGCTGTTTCCTTGGGAATATGAAAAAAAATCACAACTTTGTTAACCAATTTCCTAATCATATTTCCCCTCCCTAGGCATATTGGTGCAAGGCTGAGTTTTGCAGAGAGATTTCTGGACTTTTCTGCTGAATACATTTGGATAAGGTCATGGCCGTTAGAACTGGCTGTCTATCATCTCTCGTGGGGCCTTGGTTCTTTGTCATGGGGAAACTCATAGACCATCTAACTCAGAGAGCCCATCCAGAAATTGCATTTCTCTGGGAAGTCAGGGACCCAGCCTCTGGGCTGCTGAAAGTACTCAGCCCAGGGCAGGCCTAAGGGAGAGCAGGTGTGGGCAGGTTGCATGAGGATAATATGGAATGAGGAGAAATGTGTTTTGGAGCTTGTGGGTGAGGAGAAAATGGTGCTTTTGTCTCAGAGGCACTGAGACACCTGGGAGTGGGGCTGGGGTGCGGGTGGTGGGGTGAGGTAACTGCAGTAGAAAAGAGAGATTGGCGTGGGCATCCCTACGGATGCAGGAGACCCAGGAAAAATTCAAGGCATCATATTGACAAGGAAAGCCAAAAGAAATAAAGACCATTACTGGCTGCATTATTAAGCACACACCCAAATAGTGCTCACAGTGCAGATACCGAGACAGGCAGATTCTAGGATTCATATGTCAAGCCCATTCACTTCCTACAGAAGAAAAATAAAAGACAACCTGGTTGGGGGGGAAATCCTCATAGAGAGGTGGCCCCACAGCAGGCAGCTGCCGGTGGTCTGGATCACACTTTGTCTCCCAGCATAACAGTTGAGCTATCTGGGGAAAATTCCTTAGCCCCTCTAAGCCTCAGTTCCCACAGCTAGCAAATGGGGGTAATGGTCATAACCCTTCCTCTCAGAGTGTGAAGATGGAAAGAGAGTCTGCATTTCAGCACTTAGCACAGTGCCCAGCACACGCAACAAGAGGTAGCTGTCATCAACATTAAGCTGTTATTCACGCCCTCAGGAGGACTCTGGACCCAGCCAGGGCCAAGGTAGAGAACCTCAAGGGGGAATCCTCTTCCCTATCAGTGGCTCAGCAAAGACCACTCTGAGGAACCCATCACGTTTTGGGGATAGGGCGAGTTGTTTGGTCTAAACAGCTTGGGAAGAAGAGACCCAGGAAAGGAGCGCCATCCTGAAATCTTTGATGAGCTCTCAGAGAGAAGAGGGGGTTTCAGGCTTTCCTACCCCAGAGGACAGATTTGAGTCCATTGGCAAGGGTGGAGCTCAGAGGCGGCCCAAGGAAGTCCTTCCTCCTAATGAGAGTTGGTGAAGAACAGAAGTTGCTGTCTGGAAAGGCTCTGAGTTCCCTTCTCAAAGGCCCTTTACCATAATTATAATGTGTGTGTCACAAACAACCCTCAGGAGAACAGAGCTAGAGAACCTTTGCCTCAGGAAATGTTCAAGCTGAAGCTGGATGATCAAATGCTGGTGAGGGGCGCCTGGCACTGTGCAAAGCTGAGACCAGGCAGCCCACTCGTGGGTTAGGACTATCTACAGCTCCGTTGCATTGAGCACAGTCTACATGCCAGGAAGGCCCAAGGCTAAGTACTTCACACACACTAGCTGGCTTCAACCCTACAACACCAACATGAGGCAAGCACTACTGGTAGCTCTGTTTTACAGAAGAGGAAACTGAGGCCCTTGGATGGTAAGTCAGTTGCCAAAGCTTCACAGTTAGATCACACAGCCAAGATCCAAATCCAGGCACAGCTGGCCATAGAGCCTGTGAGCTAACTGCTGCACTGCACAGCTCTAGCCAGGACAGTTTGTCCTTGCCCTACCTACATGCTGCCTGTGGCCAGGACCTCTGGTGACAGGGGAGATGGAACCATGTGAGCCTGGAAAGCAGGCTGACAGGAAGTAGATGGCACTGTCCTTCTGGCCTAGGGTAGGGCCAAGAGACCACAGCTCTCCACATCACTAAGAAAGATAGGACCTTGCCTGGGGCTGGGAGAGTTCCGGGAAGTTTCTGTAGCAGCGCTGGCTGGTCTGTTGCTTTGCATGCTTATTGCTTTTGTATGGAGTAGGTATCTGATCTCCCCAACACCTGCCAGCTCCGCCTCTGCGTTCTTTCCCTTCCTTGTACACCCAGCCCCTGCCTCCCACCCTGGCATCTCCCTCCCTTCCCCCGCCATGCAGAGATCTGAGTCACTGACAGCAAGTGGGTGAGAAGAAACAGAGAAGGCAGAATCAAGAAATGAAAACCCTAAGGGCAGCAACAATTAATATTTAACTTGAAAATTGCCTGGGAACAGAAAGCTCAGGCTATTCATGTGCAAATCATATGCAAACACTCTCCACATCGGGCCCTTGTAATTATTCTGCAAACCTGCCTGGCCAGCTCTAAGGGCAGCTTGGGAAACCCCAACACCCCAATCCTGCTGCAGGCTGCAAACCTCCCCATGACAGGGCTTGGGAGGGTCTCCAGGTGACACCACTCGGGTGACACCAGCTTGTCCCAGAATTCCTCAGGCCAAAGCTCTTTCCAATTCTTGAGGAAATGTTTCTCCTGCCAGGGAAAGTTCCCAGCCCCGCATCTGGGCTCCCCTTGCCACTCCCCAAAAATGCCTTCCTGACGGTCACCCATGGCCTCCTGATGACTAAATCCCAGTGTCTCCACTCATCCTCCACTTCCAGGCAAAAGCCAGAGCAGCTGATGCCTGAGGCTTCTTCTGTGCTGCCCACCCAGGGCCTCCTCCCTTCCGTCTGACTGCCCTTCCCTGGCCCTGTCAGTGCCACCTTAGCTCCAGCGTGGGGGTGAGCCTGAGAAGGCCTCTTCTCCCCCACATCCGATACGCCCTGGGCAGGAGGGTGGGTCTCTTCGGAGGGTATGGGCGGGCCCTGCACTGGCTTCTGATTATCCTGCATATGGCGGGAAAACAGTTCAGTCCCCCTTCCCCTCCCCAGGTCACCTAAGGCCAGCCCAAATCTGGCGTCACTAGAAGTTCACTTGCAGGGTTAGGTGACCTGGAGCTCTCAGGCCTGAGAGCACAGGCTGAGGACAGGTGCTTTTCTTCACAGCTGGGAGCTCCCTGAGGACACAGCCCCCCAGGCCCATGCTCACCACTGCACCCAGACCTTGAGAGTGTCCCCTGGGGCATCGCCTCCAACTGCAGCCAAGCTGGGGAAGGACACACAGGACCAGGGGAGCAGCCCCAGCCCTAGGCTCAGCCCCTGCCAGAACAGTCTTTAGCATGGGTACTTGTCTCCATCTCAGCCCGCATCCCTCACTCAGACGTGTCAGCTTTTACTGGATCTGATTTATTTCATATCCACATATGTTGAAGAAGGAGCCTGTAAAAAGCTCAGCACATTGGCTGGCCTGTGTTCAGCACCTAATATGAGGCAACTGCCCTTGACCATAAACTCTGAAATGAGTCAAGTGTCCACAGTTCCAAAGGGTTTGGTGCCTTGTTCTCACTGGAGTCACGGAGCCCGGAGCAATGCACTGCCAGGCAGGGCTGCCTTGGCCAGCACCACCGTCATCACCATGCCCAGAGCAGGTGGGATAGGCGATGGTGAGGGGGTGGTCCCCACCATGTGTGGATAATTTCCTAATTCCATGATGCCTGTGGCTGATGGTCATTCATCCTACTATGTATTTACTGGGCATCTGCTACGTGCCTGGCACTGTTGTGACCCTTCCCTCAGGGAGCTTCCATATCCATGGGGGAAGCTGATCTTAAGACAGAACCTGAATTCACTAACAGTTGTGAGAGAGACGGGGGAAAAATTTACCACACTAAACATAAAAGGTAACAAGTGAGATAAAAAGTGCATCCAGCTGGGTGTGGTGGCTCACAAACTGTAATCCCAGCACTTTGGTAGGCCGAGGTAGGAGGATCCCTTGAGGCCAGGAGTTCAAGATCACTGTGGGCAACGTAATGAGAACCTGTCTCTACAAAAAATTAAAAATTTAGCTGAGCATTGCTGACTTGTGCCTGTAGTCCCAGCTACTTGGGAGGCTGAGACAGGAGGATTGCTTGACCCTAAGAGGTGGAGGCTGCAGTGAGCTGTGATCATGCTACCACACATGGGTGACAGAGTGAGACTCTGTCTTCAAAAAAAAAAAAAGTGCATCATCCCATTTTCAGAAATATTAAAATGTAGAGAAAAATACACATCTGAAACCCAAAGAACTATAATAATATAGTTTATAGTGACATAACAATAATACATAGTAATATAATATATAATATAGTCATAAAGGGCACTTTATTTTAATTGCAACTTACCTGGTTGCCAGAAAGAAAAACTCAGTCACAGTAACTCAAATATAAAGAACAGAGGGCAATTTATGACATGCAACAGCAAGATACACATCTAGGCCCTACAGGAACCATGCTGGGGCCGGAATGGCATTGAAAATGGTGACAGCCACCCTCTGCCTGCTGTCCCTTCTCTGCATCTTTCTCACCACACACTTCACACTCATCTTTCCACCAAGAGCTTCCCCTGCTTCCTCAGGTTTCTATCTGGGCTGGCCAGGTCTCTGACTGTGGTAACAACTTTTGGTCCCCCACAGTGAGCTCCAGAGTAGTAATTCCAGGTTCCTGGGAGAGAGTTTTAATAGGCTCAGTGCACTTGTTCAGGTATCAGTGTGATTTATTCCAACAAGGAGACCCCAAATCCACAGTTGGCTTCAACCAGATCCATGTTTGTTTCTCTCCTGCCAAAGTCTACACTGCCTGCAGCCCTCCTCTGCAAAGTCGCCAGGGCTCTAGGCTCCTTCCATCTTGTTGTTCTGTCATTCTTAGGATGAGGACTTTGCCCCCATGGTCCACAGGGCTCACCACCACATCCACTCCACAGGAGCAGAATAGAAGAAAGGCATGGCCCTGAAATCGCATGCATCATTTCCATTCCTGTGGCCAGAATTTACCCACAGGACTAAGCCTAGCTTCAAGGGAGCTCAGAATATATCATCTTTGCTAGGCAGTCAACTGGGGAGGGGGCACCAGCCATCTCTGACATAGGCAGCCTAGTTAGTTGTGGTGGTAAGAGGCAGTAAGTTCTGAAAGCGGGCAGCAAGATAGAGCCTTGGCAGCCTGGGGGCTCCCCTCCCGCAGGGCCCAGGTAGAGGGCAAGCCCACCCTGTGCTGAATCCATGCTGTGCCATGCACTATGGGACCTCTGACTTGTGAGAGCTCTGAGAGAAACACTTAGCGAAGGCACCTAGGAGACAGGACCTGCAGGGCCAGCAGCGTGGGGCACCTCGGGAGTCTCTCCTCAGAGACCCCTTTTATCTGTCGGGGTCAAGGGAAGTCAATTAAATTTAGGTGTGGGAGGGAGAGAAGAGAGAAAGCCAGAGGAGAAAGGGAACAGGAGATAATTGACAGTCACCAAGTTTATCTGAAAGGACTCTTACGTGAGTTCTAAGGAAACGTCTTACTCTCAGTTTCCTGAAGTAGCTAAAAACTTCCTGGGAGGGTGATGATCATGAGGCTGATTTGTGATAAAGACTATAAAGCAATTGGGGTGTGTCTAGCACACAGGAGACACTCAACAAATGGCAGAGTTTGGTTTAGATTCGAGGGCACTAAAGTGGAGCGGTTCAGTTCAGAGGTGACCCTCTGCATGCTGCATAGTCCAAACACATGGACAGTCTTTCTTTGCCTTTCCCAGTTCGTGGGGAAGTGGCTCTCCAGTTTTAGAGTCCACTCCCAGAGATTTCGCTTTTGTTAGGCCTAGGGCGGGGCCCAGGGATCTGCATTTTCATGCCGGGAAGTCTGGGGCAAATAGTTGAAAGGCTGAACTTGGAGAAATACTGCAGAAGGGGAAATGTCCTTCTCTGAGGTGGACTCTCTTCATTGACACAGTCATCTCCTACACAACGATCAGCATTGTGCCCCTTGGGGTACAACTTCTCTAATTCCCTTTCTTGTGATGTTCCTGGGGATGGAAGATGAGATGGGAGTTGTGGGAGGAAAGGCAAGGTGATGATGGGAGTTCATTTGGTCAGAAAAGCTTATCTAGAACATCCACAAGCCCAATAATGACCTCCCCCTCAAGCCTCCATTAGAAAACCAGCGGGCTATTTGGGCAGCATCTGAGGTCACCTCTAGGACCAGAATGTGCAGACCCATTGGAGACACTGAAACACTATTAATAGTGGGGTGGGCGGCGCCAAGCTCAGGGAGTGTGAAATGCTTCTTCCAGGAGCACACAAGTCCTCTGAGAGCCCAGGTCACCTCAGACTTGAATGTAGTCATCCTGGCTGACCCCCCAGACATAGCTGCTGGTGCTCAGGGCAAAGAGCGGGCCTGGCCACAGAAGGCCCAAGTGCAGCCCTCCGCAAAGCCCTTCCCTCTGGCGGGTCAGACACAGAGGCCTCCGTTCTCTCTCAATCACATTTATCGACTTTTTTTCTTATTACTAGAATAGATATACAATCATCATAAGAAGTGTTTTTTGAAGATACGGAAAGGCACAAAAGAAAAACAAAAGCCACCTGTAATCCTACCATCCAGAAATAACCATTATTAACATTTTAGAGTAACACACTACTAGTTTTTCCTATGCATATATTTGCATAAAATTGCATACATCAAATTTGGATTTTACCAAATCCTCTCTTCTGTAATCTGCATGCTTCACTTAACAGAATATACAATATTTTCCCACATCATGAAATGTTCTTTGACAGCCTCATTTTTTTCCATCTCTTATTTTTTAATTTAATTTTAAGTTCCATGACACATGTGTAGGATATGCAAGTTTGTTACATAGGTAGACGTGTGCTATGGTGGTTTGCTGTACCTATTAACCCATCACTTAGGTATTAAGCCAGCATGCATTAGCTAATTTTCCGGATGCTCTCCCTCCCCCTGCACCTGCAGGCCCCAGTGTGTGTTTTTCCTCTCCCTGTGTCCATGTATTCTCATTGTTCAGCTCCCACTTGTAAGTGAGAAGATGCCGTGTTTGGTTTTCTGTTCCTGCATTAGTTTGCTGAAGATAATGGCTTCCAGGTCCATCCATGTGCCTGCAAAGGACATGATCTCATTCATTTTTATGACAGCCTCATTTTTAATAGCTCATCATATTCTAGCATATGGATGTATAACAATTTAATTTGGACATTTTGGTTATTTCTGTTCTTTACTTTTATTTTTGCTCCTATAAATTCTGTATATCAGTATTGGTTTTCTTAGGATTGATTCTGAGGTCAAAGTATTTTTTTAAGTAAATTCTTAGATCAAAGTATTTTTTTAAGTTTTAGGTACACATTGCCAAATTGTAGATACTCAAGCAAAGCTTGAAGAAGGCATAATGAAACCAGGGATCCAGGTCAGGCTTCAGGGTGTGAGGAGAGCAGTGCTGAGCAAGGGACTGTCTGAGCTCAATTTCTGACACCATGAAGGGTTGCTTGATCAAGCTTGGAATGTTGAAAAAATTTCCCCTCCCCCACAAGAAAATCAACTCCAAACCCTAAGAGTCCCTTAATAATCTACAGATGTCTCTTCTCTGATGATACTCAACCCATTTTAGGGATTCCATGTGAATTCTCATCTGGACTATAGCAATTATTTCTGAAAACCAGACTTTTGAAAGAAGCACATGTAACTTTTTTAAAAATAGCATTTTTAGTGCATGCTATTATCATTGTTACTTATTCAAATGTGTTGATGGTAGAGTAGGTGGAAGGGTGATGTTTGCATTGGCATGGCAACCAGTGACTAATTGAATTCCCTTCACAGCCTATAATGGCTTCTTTGACTTACATGGGGCCAGAAATGGATTTTCTTTTTGCCCCTGTGTGTCACTGGCTTATGGTAGAGAAAAGGTTACCCATTCGTGATCTAACCCTTTTTTATTCTATTTATATTTTCCGTTTGTGCCACCCTTGGGGCTATGTTTAGTGAGTTTACTTCCCACCCTGTAATGTGAGATTTCTTTTGATCTACAAATGCCTCTTGTAGGGTATAAAATATGACTCCTAATTACTGTAACAGCTAATATTTATCAAATCCTTACTGTAGTACCAGGCACTCGGCAAGGCGCTTTACATATTTTTCTTTTAGCCCTTAACAAAACCCTATGATGTGGGTCCTATTACGATCATCCTTTCTTAAACAGGTGAGGAAGCAGATGGAGGTTCAATGACTTGGTGAAGGACACAGAGTTCACAAGAGGAGGGTAGACCCTGTGCTCAGGAAGCAGAGAGTCTTACCACCCTGCTATCCAGGCTGCATCGAGTCCCCATGAGGATGTGGGATTTGACGGCCCAGCTCACGGTCAAGCAGGAGCTCTTCCTTCATGTGATAGTTCTTGAGCATATCCTTTCTCAGACTTTCTGAGCTGGAAAATGCCAGGACTTCAGTCTGTCCTCACATAAAAGTTCCTTCTTGTCTTTGCCTAATTTAACAAATCCTGGAGATTAAATGAGATTTTCCTCTTTCTTTTGGTCTCACAAATAGTATCTTAGTCTCATCAACTCTCAGCTTTTTTCATCTATAAAATGTAAAGCTAAAGCTGGCTCACCTGAGGGTTGTGAAGATGGCAGGGGCAGGCCTCCACAGAAGCCCGTTGCATGGGGCCTGGCACACAGTAGGTGCTCCATAAAGCTCACTTGCCTCTGTCTCTTGTTGGACTTCCAATGACAACCTGTCTCCATCGTAGAGCTTCTGGACAATCAATGTTATCTCTGCTCCTCCTGGCAGCACAGGGCTCCCGCCCAGGCCCACTGAGACACGGGGTGGTTGGGATCCTGGCCTGGTTCTCCAGTGAGTCATGATGTCAGAAGGTGCATGGTGGAGAGAAGGGAACATAGGCTCAGGAGCAGTGGCAGCGGGGTTGCACCAGCATGAGGAGCCCTTCGGGTGCTATTAGAAGGCTGACTTTAGACAATCCATGAACAACAGTCTGTTAGTCACTTGTTGGCTCTTTAGGCATCAAAAACAAGCAAAACAAGGAACACTAGTGCTTGGTGAAATCCTTGGGGTGAACTCTACAAACACAGATAGGAAATGATTGGATAAGAGCAGTTACGAGTTAAGGGAAGCAAGAGATCTGAATGAACCATGGACTGAACATGGGCTACTGATGTATGCAGCTCACAAAACTCTGGGCAACATGCATTACCTCTTAGCTTGACACTGTGCAGCCATGAAAAAGGAAGCTGCAGAATGCTATTTTATGACATGGGAACATATGCACAACATGCTGTTAATAAAGCAACTCAAAAATTATGTATCATATGATAACTATAAATACCAAAAACATGAAAAATATGGCCAAAATTTTAATAGTATCCTTCTTTGGGTAGTTGGATTATGGATTGGTTTTTATCTTTGTGTTTGAAAATAAAATTTTCTATAACAAACATTTATGTATTTTCTAATCAGGAAAACAATAAACATACTTTTTAAAGAGCACAATCATTTCACTGGGATTTTAAGGCTAGAAAGATAATTGCTTCATTTGAACTGGCAGATCAGGTTCTGTCAAGAGCACTGGGCCATTTATTAAACAAATTCACTGAGTGTCATGTGCTAAGCACTGTTCTAGGCTCAGTTCTGGACTCTGTGATAGCAGGGACATGAACAACTTGGAAAGTTCAAGGGAAGGTTCACTGGAGAATCAAAGGTGTAACAGTCAAGGAGGTCAGTGATACTCAAACTGTGGTCCTCAGATGGGCAAATCAGTATAACTCGGAAGCTTGTTTGAAATGCAGATTCTCAGGTCCTACCTCAAAGGTGCTGAATCAGAATCTCTGGTGCAGGGCTCAGAAATCTGTGCCTTAACACGCTTTCCAGACGATTCTAAGCAAGCTACAGAATCTGAGAAGCACGGGGCTAGGTTATGCTGCAGAAAAAAATAACCCTCATCTCTAGGCTCATAGTGAAAAAGATTGCTTTCTTGCTGACACCTCATGTTCATCGAGGGCTAATTGTGCTCTTCTTCATGACCCAGGCTGACCCACTGAGCTACCTTGTCTGGAATGATGCCAATCATCAAGGCAGAGGGAAATCAGAGCACAGTGAACCACAACCTCGCTCTAAGGCTTCTGCTTAGCAGGGTTGTGACTCACATTTTATTGGCTAAAGCAAGTCACACGGCTAAGTCTCCATAAATGGATTAATGAAGTTGAGAAATATGAATTTTCCCCAGGAAAAAGTAACACATTTCTTTTTGGCTTTTATTTTTGAGTTAGTTATAGACTGCCTGCACTGTAAAAAATAATACAAAGAGATCCTATATACCCTTCACTCAGTTTTCCCCAATGGTAACATCTTGCATGATGATAGAACAATATCGCAACCAGGAAATTCCAGCAACCCAATTCAGACGTCAGGTTTTACATACACTCCTTTGTGTGTATGTGTGCATTTAGTTCTATGCAATTTTATCACACAGCAAATATTTTTTAATAATAATCCAATCTACTCCACCTAGTCCAAGTAAAGGACTAGGACTATTTAACTGGGGAAGTAAGACTGATATCTCTCCTCTCACTAAGATCCCTGTCTTTGAAAAATGAGTTCATGGAGACCGATGGGACTAGATCAGAAAAAACAAAAATGTCTTTAAATCTATCTTGAGGAGTTGTAAATGTAGTGAACATTTGTAGGTTTGGCCTACCCAGCATAACTCCCCCTTCTGGGGGCAGAACTTGTATTTTGTTTTGGGAAAGCATCCCTCTCCCATTTTCAGGACGTGTGTGCAAGTGGGGTTGACCACATTCTGAGCTTTAAGGGTGGGCACCTCCCCTGGCTCACACTTGGCCTTGCAACACATTCCATCTTCCTGGCCACAGTCACTGGTTCAGAGATGGACACATGAACTAAGCTGGTCCCATAAGAACCAACCCAAGACATTTCACTGAAGCGATTGATAAAGATGCTCTCTTTCCACTGGTGCTGCCAAACTGGTAAATTACAACCTTGAATGCTGGAGACCAGCAGATAAAGAAAGTCTGGCTGAAAAATGCAATCAACACTAAGAAATGGAGGAAGAAGACCACACCTTGATAACATTGCATGATCCCCTGGATCCAGCCATGCCTGATGCTTCACTCCTTTTGGACTTTCCAGCTAAGTGAACTAAAGAATTCTCATTTTTTAAAAAATTCCTGCTTAAACTAGTCGGAATTGGGTTTCCTCTCACTTATTCCTAAGAGTCTTCAAGTCCTGACTTACTCAAGAAGGGAATTCCCAATTCTAGACAGGGTAAGCAAAGGAAAGTGGTAGTTCTCCTCTTCCCAACAGTTTAAGTGAAAATAAGTACATAGAGAGGCATACACACATATGTATGTGGGGGGAGGTCTGTGTGTGCATGCATATATATTTTTTCTCCCTAGCCACTTAAGCCCTATTCAGTAACTGTCTACCTTAAAATTAAAGTCAGGCAATAAGCCCAAGAAAATAGAATAAACTTTCTCTTCCTTGCCCTTGCCTTGGGATAGGTTTCCCACGCTTGTGAGAGAATTTTCAGATCTGAAAAAAAAAAAAAAAAAAAATTGTGCAGAGGGACTCTTCATTGCTGAATGTTTATGATTGTAAGACTTATTTTACTGGGCAAATTTTGAATCTAGTAACTATGAAGGCTGTAGAGAAAGCTATAAAATGAACAATATTCTCAGAGTTTTGCAATGTTATTTTTCCTCCCAGGGGTTTCCAGCCGGCCTGAGTGTTCACATGGTTATGCAGGTAAGTGCCGACAGAATGATGCATTTTCCCCATTGAACAGAAAACTATGTGAGTGTGGGATCAATAAAATATGAAAATGAAGCCTCAAACTCCAGAGTATGTAAATGCGGGTATTTTAATTTCCCTTGATAACAGACAAATATAGCCATGAGAAGCTTCCTTGAGAGTTTTGTCATCTGCCATTTACAGAGAGTGGGAAGTTATGGAGCAATTAGCCAAGGAGGGAGAAGAAGTGTCCCCCAGCCTGTGAAGACTGTCCCCCCAGCTCAAGGAGGCCATAAAGGGCCAGAATGTGTTAGTACCGGTCACCCCAAAATGCCCAGATCCTCCCAGGAAGCTGCTTGAAAAATGTAAAAAGTGAGGTCTAAATTGTGAAATTATGCTTTGTTCTTCCATGCGCTCAAAAGAGCTACCATTTGGCTGCTATTGTGACTTTGAAACCCACTGTAAGGAACACTTCTGCCACTGGAAACTTAATTGTGGCCTGTTTTGAAGATGTATGCTTTTGTGGGAAATTACGGTTGAGCCTTCTGAGCCCTGTTTCAACAGTCTATCACTTCAGCAGGGCTCTTCTCTTGAATGGAGCTGCTGGAGCCACGGCAGCAGTGGCATCCATGTACAGGGCCCAAAGCTCTGCCACTGACAGCTGTGTCATCACCGTGCATGGCTTACCATGATTTTCTTACGTGCAAAATACAAAACTAATGTGTAAAATACACATTATTTACTTATGTGTAAAATACAATACTAATACCTATTTCATAGCTTTGTGGTAAAGACTTCAAATAGGTAATAGGTAATAGATTCATGATCCTTTTGCAAACAAAAAGGCACATACACACGAGATACCACTATTGCAGATTCCTCAGGTCATGTTCTAGAAGCCACACAGACAGCACAAGACCAGCCATAGGGAGGCAGAATGTGATTTTCTATTAAGGAATGAGCTTAGGAAAGTGATATTGGAGTAAAAATATAATGGGTAGACTTTTACACTTTGGGACTTAGCCATTGAAAACGATCAGAAGGAACCTACTTTTTTTTTTTTTTTTGGTAGAGACAGAGTCTCACCATGTTGCCCAGGCTGGTCTCTAACTCCTGGGCTCAAATGATCCACTCACCTTAGCCTCTAACGTGCTTGGAGTTAGGCGTGTGCCACCATGCTTGGCCAGAAGGAACTTAATTTTGAAGTAGAGAAAGGGTGCAAAAAATTTTGAGTACCTCAAAGTACTGAAAAGAACAAGATGAAGTTTCTGGAAGTTACTTGTATGTTTCTTGGTAATGTGGACAGCTGTGTAACAGTAGTGAGAACACAGTTCAAACTGGAGTTTGAATCCTTGCCTACATGGCCTTATGCTCATTTTCTTCCTTACGCCTCTGAGCGGTTTTCTCATCTGTAACACTGGGATTACAATACACACCAGAGAGGGTTAGAGTGAGGATTAAACGAGAAACACAGGGAAAGCTTTTAGCACAGTGCCTGGCAAGAAGTGAATGCCAAGAAAGGCTATGATTTGAAGAAACTTGGGATTCCAGGAGAGCTAAAGAAAAGTATTTTTTTTTTACAAGGCACAGAGAAAATAGATAAAAACTGTCCAAGGTTTGTCAGCAGATTAGGCTATATCTTTTCTGCTTTCAATTTGCTATTTTTCTCTTTCCTTCATTGTGACCTCAACTGCATATTGCTCTGATTTTATATAAATCCTGTGTCCCAACAGGGAAGCCCTGTGGAAATGAAATACTTAATGATATTTCCAACTTTAAGAAAGATTTCAGTAAGGGCAGCTCTGCTCTGGGTGATGC
The DNA here is from genome assembly GCF_000001405.40 of Homo sapiens. NCBI lineage: Eukaryota > Metazoa > Chordata > Mammalia > Primates > Hominidae > Homo > Homo sapiens. The sequence continues at coordinate 152,290,057 of NC_000004.12, forward strand.
TTTACATTAATCCGATGGATGAAGAGTCTATTCCCAGCATTGAGACTGTTAACGGAAAGATTTGAACAGAGGGGCAGGCTTGGGAAACTGGATGGATTCCCAGATTCACCCGAGTCAAGTCTTTCCAGTTCTGCTTCATCATGTTGTTTGAAATAAATTCCCAGAACATAAGATTCTGCCACATTCAGAAAAAATGTTCCAAAATTCCATAGAAATGTTATCTGGCTGATTAGCTTCTTTAAGATGGTCAAAGCTGTTTTCTTCGCCATCAGTACCAATAATCAAGAGTTGACTCTGGTTAAATGGGGAGTAGTTTTGAAATACCACAGTGTTTTTAGGATTCAGTCAACCTTGTCTTAGGATGGCCAAATACCATCTTGCTTTCTTTCCCACTCCAAAGATGAGTTACAAATCATATTTAAATAGTAAAATGATTCATCACCCCCATTGGTTTGAGGGAGGAATGAGGATTGTATCTTATTAAACTTGATGTGCACCGTGCCCAGCACAGTTGCTAAAATGGATAATAATTGTGTAGGAAACATATTTTAGATTTCTCACAAGAACAGTTTGTATTCAACAAAACTACTAGCTAGTTAGGAGTTATACATAGTTCAGCAAACATGCATGACTAACACACTACAGCCAGGCATCACTTAATGATGGGGATGAGCTCTGAGAAATGTGTCAATAGGTAATGTCATCATTGTGTGGACATCACAGAACGTACTTACGCAAACCTAGATGGTAGAGCCTACTACACACCTAGGCTATATGGGATAGCCTCCATGGCTATAAATTTGTACAGCATGTCACTGTACTGAATACTGTAGGCAATTGTAACACAGTGGTATTTGTGTATTTAAATATATCCAAACATTGAAAAGGTACTGCATTGCACTAGGATGTTACAACAGCTACAATGTCACTAGGCAATAGGAATTTTTCAGGTCCATTATAATCTTATGGGGCTACCTTCATATATCCAGTCCATTGTTTACCAAAACTTTGTCACTTGGCACATGACTATGATCTATACCACCTATAAACATTTATTGAGAACCTACTACGTGCCACACATGGTTCTAAGTACTAGAGATACAAAGACAAATAGGGCACGATTCCTGCCTTCATGTTCAGACTGATAGGAAAGAAGCCAGTATTGGTCAAGGTTCTGGATGGTGGACAACATAATCCACTCTAGCTAGTTTAAACTGAAAGGGATTAATTAAGGTTTATAAATATCTCAAAAAACCATTGGGAAGAAACAGACTCTATGCTGAGCTTCCAGGACTCCACTAAAATAGCTTGCCCAAAAGATAAGTTGTCTTTCCCACAGACAGGAACCTCTGAATCAGGAAGCTACCACCACTACTGTTGGCTTCATAACCACATCACATCTGCCATCATCCAAGCCAGCAGAATGAAGGCCCGTATCCTGCCTCTTTTCCCATGAAACTTAGATATGAATCCAAGTCCTGCATGAACATATCTGACTTGCAGAATATAAATCAATATCTGCATCCTAGCACAAGAGGCTGGGAACTGCAGGTGTGGTGTGATAGGAATTTGAGATGTAAACCATGGGAAACTATAAGAATATGGAGACGCTGTTTAAGAGATTTAGGGCTGCTAGAAATGACCATTGTCCTCTACAGTGATTAAATAAACAACTACAGTAGAAAGCACAAATGATGTGACTGACGTACACATGGGATGCTTTAGGATTACAGAGAATGATTAAATAATCTAGAATGATGGAGACATCACGGAAATTAATCTCTTGAAACAAGCCTTGACTGAGTAGGACTTAGCCAGGCAAAGAAGTGCAGGGAGAAAACATTCCAGTGGCATTCAACATTCAGAAAAATATTCCAATAACTTTGAGAAAAAACTACCTTTGTGTTATGTACTGAGGTTACAGATGTGATTTAAAAAAAGACTCATGCCTTGCCCTGATGGAGCACACAGTCCCCAGCAGCAGGACAAAGGCTGCACTGAACTAACTTCAGTGGATTGATATAATTTTGCTAGAAGGTCAAATATAGGTAACATGGGGATCACGGTGCCCTGCTTAGGGAGATGCATGAGGTGGATGTATTGTCTTCTGCCTGCATCCTAGTGGCTGAGTGGGCACTGGCCTGAGGACAGCTGATCCATATGTCTGCCTGTGACCTCTGAGTAGGCAAGGAGCAAAACTCATCTCCAACAGAGACAATGGTGACCAGCTGCTGAAATTGTATTCTCTCTTTCTAAGGATTGAACTGAAGGGTGGGTGGAGAAAATTCATGAGTTGGCTAATAGAACTAGAAGCAGAGAAAACTCACATGAGAGAAGATGAATTTTGTGTAAACAGAAGACAAAATCCACGAGGTGTGGGAACAATACTTTGACTAGAGGATGAGGGGCTAATGGAAAGGCAGGAACAACAGAGGCCGAGGCAGAATGAGGCCTGTCTCAGTAATGGCAGAGAATCAACAAACTCCTGCTAATGGGGGCAATGAGAGCCCAGTCCCAAGAGCTGTGCTGGATCCTTTCATTTCCGGGACTCCATTCTAATCTCTGCAAGACCCAGCTATATGACTGTGCTTGGGAAGTCTTGTTTTGTTTTTGTTTTTTAATTCCCATCTGCAACCTTCCCAACCATCCTGTGAGTAGCCTCCCAGCCTCTCTGTTCCATGCATCAACTAACACAGTGGGAAGTTGAAAGTTCTGGATCTTGGCCCAATCAACATGGAAAGAGGAAAACATTTTTCTTAAAATGAAAAAGACACCAGAGTTAAACATTAATTGATGACAGTTTAAGTTTAGTTTTTTTTATATTTAATTTGTACCTATAAGTTTATTTCTTACCAAAGCGCTATTGTATGTTTATTGACTTGAATTGCTATGAAAATGTTACTAACAATGAGTGAAATAATAAGTGCTGTTATTACATCCTCCCACCCCAATATCCTTTGACCCTCCTCCTCCCTTCCTGGAGATGAAGTCTGCATGCTGCTATTTGCCTTACTGGTGATCCCAGCTTTCTTATGCATGCAGACTTCATGCATAAAAAAGCTGGGATCACCAGTAAAGCAAATAGCAGAAATGCATGTTTTACTGTATAATATTAAAGAAAACCTACTTTATATTCAGAACAATACAGCCCTTCTTTCTTACCCTCAGCATGTAGTAAAATGCTAAACACATATCTGGTGCTCTTAAATGTATATTGATTGATAATGTTTAAAATCAAAGGATGTTCAAATAAAAGTTATTGCTTCTGTGCGAAGCTAGATTTGAAAAAGAGAGGCCCTGGGTTACTGTCCTAAATGGTGCAGCCTTATCCCATTATGGGAACTTTTTCCTTAGCAGAGGAAGTTTATTGATCCTCTGCTCTTACTAAGACCCAGCCCTCTCTGCCTAGGCTTCCACTGTTCCTGACAAGGGTCCAGGTGGAAAGCTGAGGAGCCCCTGTCCCAGGAGGAACTAGCAGCCCAAGGGGACCAGTGACAAGTCAGACCAAGTGTTGATCAAGCAAAGAATTAGACTGGATATAGAGATACAACTGGCGCTGGAGCAGAGGTAGTTTTTGCTCACTCATTCATTCATTCAGCAAAGATTTATTGAGAAGGAGGATTTAGGACTAAATGAAACCGGTCCTGTTCTCAAGTTGTTACAAGCAAGGGAGTCAGGCCCTCAGGGCGATCTACATAAGGTGATGTACAGCTGATACAGCAGAAGAGTCCAGCCTCCTGAAACGGACTGGGAGGAGATGATGGGATGGCCCCTCAGCTGGCTAGCTGTGTTCATGCACAGCTTCAGCTCTGCCTGATCGGAGCAGGTTAGAGAGAAGTGACTGGTAAAAATCAAACAAAGAACAGCAACAACAACAACAGGTCCCAGGGACCCCAGGCCGAATGTCAGCTTGGCTGGCTAGTCACCACATGGAAGTCTACTACTATTATAATTATTAGTTAATATCTTTTATTGAGCACTTACTCTATTCTAGACACTCTGCCAAGTAGTCTTTTGATTTCTCGTTTAGTCCCTCATTTTATAGGCGAGGGACACTGAGCCTTGGGGAGGTGATGCTACAAGTCAATGCCTCAAATGCTAGGGTGGGGAACCCACCCAAGTCAGTCTGGCTTCCCACTTCTGCTCTCATGGACCGCAGGTCTGTGTTCCCATCTAGATGCCTGGGCATCTAGAACCACAGCTGATTCTAATCTCTACTTGCTCCGGTGGAGGCAACCACTAAAATTTGAATGTGCTGTTTTCACAGACCTAGGGATCAATGGTAGCTGCAAGAGGCTGAGATAGTTCTGACGTCTGTAGAATGAGGAGGGAATTGGTTGTCTGACGTCTCACCTCCCACCAACAGTCTGTGTAAGATGCTTTGGATGTTCTGGCATTGAACCAAGTTCAGTGGATTGATACAAAACAGGGAGGTGAGGCGGAGGCTAGAATAATGAAGGCTGTTCCAAATTCCCAGGATTCAGAGGTTGCCTTTCAGCAATTACATTCCTGGCATGAAAGGTGAAATTGTCAGAGAAGGCTGGGGAAATAAGGATGAACCTTGCTGAATGGAGCATGGTCAAGTGGTAGAAAATTAAAGAGCTCATTGTTAATCACACAAAGGAGCAATTGGTACTGGTTGCAAAAAGAAAAATAGAGATGTCTTTGAGACCAGGGAAATAAAGCTTAAAAGATGTATTTTTTTATGGATATAGTTGGTTTTACCTTTAGCTATTCCCATCTTTATTGAGCCTTTGTTCTTTTCTCCTAATATTCTGTTCCACAGGGGTATTTCATTGAATGCCCACTGTGAAGAAATAGTCTCATTTAAATAGAATTTAACATTAATGTGATAATCCATCTTTAAACTGGAAACTAGGGGCCAATTTGTCTTGGTCCATCACGTCACCATTTAGATGCTGATTCATTTCCGTGACTTTTCCTTCTCCTCCCTCAAGCCCTCCCCTATCTGCTTTGCTGTGCATCCTTACCTGCTGCTTCTGCATTCAGGGCGGGTGTGTGCGGCACTCCTTCCATGTCCACTGGCGGGGGTGGCAAAAGGTGTCTTCAACTTGGATATTGTTCTTGGGGAGTCCCAGTGGCTTCCAACATCGTTTGGACAAAATGTAGTGGGAGTTTGGAAAAGGGGGCCAGCCTTCCCTCTGGGGAGAATCAGGGCAGGCTTCATGGAGAAGAGAGCTGGTCCCTGAAAGGAGGCATTTTTCAGTCATGAAGGGAATATTCAGGGGCAAGAAAAGAAAATGGAAAGGGGAGAGTGCAGGGTGGGGAACCGGGAAAGGGGAATAGAAGCAAGGGCCAGCAGAAGGAGTTCATTTTCCAAAGACAAACCTATGGAAACTGCCACTTGCCCTTGTCATGGTGTTCGGATTGTGCACTTGGGACCTTGGGGACAGAGGTGTTGGCAAAGTCTTTCTCTAAGTCTTCCCAAAAGGAATTTCTGTTATAATAGAATGCCTTGTGTTTGCACAGCCACCTAAGTCACATCTACGAGTGTGTGTATACAGTATATAAATGTGTGCATAGACTCACACACACACACACACACACACACATATTTCTTTTCTTTTCTTTTTCCTTCCCTAAACAATGGTTCTCAAATTTTAGGTGAGTCAGAATTTCAGACTGCTGGGCCTACCCAGCATTTTCTGATTTTTGGATTCAGTAGGTCTGGGGTTAAGGCATAGTTTGCATTTCTGACAGGTTGCTGCTGATAATCAGAGACCATACTTTGAGAATCGCTGGTCTAAAGTATTCCCAAAGAAGGCTAAAGGATGGGTTAAGTATTTAAGTAAAAACTACCTTTATGCTTTTGTTTTGTTTTGTTTTTTTGAGACAGAGTCTCGATCTGTTGGCCAGGCTGGAGTGAGGTGGCACAGTCATAGCTCACTGCAGCCTGGAACTTCCAGCCTCAAGTGCTCCTCCTGCCTCAGCCTCCCCAGTAGTTGGGACCACAGGTGTGAGCCACCATGCCTGGGTAACTTTTTAATTATTTTTAAAAGAAATCTCATCAAATTAGATGAGCCAGTCTGTAGTTCCAGGATTCACCCAAAAGATTCTCGGGCCTCAAATGACAGAGTTAGATGGCAGAGCTCATCTTACTAAGGAGGAAATGCCTGTTAGTAGGATGCTTTGAGACAAATGGGGCCAGGAAGTTGGCAGCCCTGGGCTACAGCAGTTCTTTATCAGCCTCTATACTTGGGATGCCCCATCTATCTTGAAGGCACCTCCCTCACCCAAGTGCCAGGGGCAGCTGGTGTCAAAGAAGGTGCCAGAACAAGTGCTGCATCTGGTCTGCAAGCTTGTTCTGGGTCTTCAAGAGACACTTGCTCTGGGGTCCTGGAGGTTGGTGGACCCTGAGTCTCCCAGGAAACCTCCCTGCTGGCTTCCCACAAGGAGAGAACTTGTACCTCCCCTGCCTTATTATCTGTTCCTGTTTGTATCTCATTATCCCACCAATTGCTTGGCCTCTGAGACCACCCAGCTTGAATATTATTTCCCATTTATGATTGTTAAAAAGAGAAAAGAATCTCTTCCACAATAACCTCCTGGAAGCTTAGGAAGCAGGGGCCATCTGACAGGTCATATTTGTACAAAAGAAAACCTTTGAAATGCATGTTAAGGTAGTAATTTCCTTCATGTGTATCACAGAGAATTTCTAAAGCAGTCATGTTGCTTTCTCTTTTTCCAATAAGCTCATTAGTCTGTGACACGAATCTTATTTGGAGCAAATGGGTCAAGGATAGGGAGGGGGAGGCCCCAGGAAGAAGATTCCTTTAGAAATTACATTTTGAAAAGATTACATATTTATCTATGTCAAGTAAAACTATCAGATATGTAGAGGTCATGTTAATAGTAGTTATCTCTGACGGTAGGATTATGTACAATCTTCATTTATTCTTTGCTCTTGTATATCTTTTGTAGTCAGAAACAAAAAACAAAAAACAAAACATGTGTTTTAAAAATCAGTCTTCAGTCCCATTGCCTTGGGGATATGGTATGTGCGCAGGAGACCAAACCCACAGGCAAACAGTGATGACAACAAGAGGTTCAAATAGAAGGAGAGGTTCTGCGTGCCAGGGCAGAGAAATCCAGGAAAAATGGGTGTTGGCTGGTTCCTGGGGGATGTGTTGCTCTGAGAAAAAATGACAAAAGTTCTACTTTTACTTCAGAAATAAGAAATGGCCTTTAACCCAAGAGAGAAATAGAGGAAGGCACCAAGTTTTAAGTTTAGCAAAGGCGGGGTGTTGTGGATCAGAGGTGGCCCCTTTGTGGCCTCCCAAGAGGCAAGGACCCTCTGTCCCCCAGTGCTCCCCTGTCCCCAGTCTGTGAGGCCCTCACCTTCCCCCAGGAACACCTTTGAAATGGAGCAAAGAGTTTTAATGACTTTGCTGCAAAAAGCCCTGGCTGGCATCTTCTCCTCTGAAAATGATCTGAGTTTCTTTTTCTTTTCTTTCTTTCTCTCTCTCTCTCTCTCTCTTCTTCTTTCTTCTGCATGACTCTGTATGGAGTTACTACATGTGATGCTGATGGATCTTGTAAAGTCTCACCTTCCTTTGTGCCTGCCCTTTTCTCTTCTGAGTCCCAGGCCTATCTCAAGATCTCTGGGAGATGCTCTTACCTAACTCACAGACTCAGCTCACAGAGGGTCCCTGGCTGTGCTGCAGGCTTTGGGGCTTGTGTTTTCTCCATTCATTTGTTGTCAGCCTTCTTTATGGACTCTTCTTAGATTCTTGGATGAGAAAAAAACCTATAAAAACCCAAGATGGCCAATTAATAATAATAAGAGAGCACATTAAAACAAGGAGATCTCATTTTCTATCAATTGGCAAAGGTGTTGGAATAATCCCACATGGAGCCCCTGGCATATATTCTCTCCTGGCCCTGTCTTGTGAGTGTAAACTGATGCAACATTCCTGGAGGGCAATTTAACAATGGGTACATAGAGCTTTAAGACCATGTCACACCAGTTGACCTAGCAATTCCACTTTGATTAACCAGTCATAAGGAAGTAATCAGAGATGTCCATGAACAATTAGTTATGCACAAGATGCTCATCAAAGCATCATTTATATTAAATAATATTAAATTTATATTTTGTTCTTCTAAAGAGAAAATAGGGCAGTTGATTAAGTGAATAATAAATACATACAATAGAATACTATGCAGTAATTATAAATCATGTAGCAGAAGTAGATTTGATGATGTTCGAAGTATTTGTGCTTTACTGTCAAATAAAATACTGAAGAGTACACCCAGCCTGCTGTGACCACAGCTCTCTCCTCAGTATTCATCAATAGCCACTTGCTTTTGTGACATGTGACACCTGCCTCTTCCCCCAATACCTTGGTCTGTGCTCAAGAAGTATAGAACAAAATCAGCTTTCCCCAAAGTAGCTTTTTTTTTTTAATTGCAAGTGAAAGAAAATCCAAACCAAACAGGCTTAGGAACAAACAGTATTAAATTGGCTAATAACCCAAAGGCAGGGCTGGATTCAGCTGGGAAACCATCCAATAGTTCCACAATGTCACCACGGACCTGGTTTCTTTTGGGAAGTTATTTGTCTCCCCTGTCTTTCTTTACGAATGATATCTGAGTTGGTCATTGACAGGGGTTTTTAAATCTCTGCTAGAAAGCCACTGGAGTTGTCCCTCATTTACTTATTCCCTTAGGATCAGGCAGGATGCAGAGGATTTCTCTTCTGCCCTCCTGGGAGTTGATGGCATATTTAGGCTCATTTTCACATAATGGCTGTAGTAATTCCATCTTTACCTCACATCTTCCAGAGAAGGAAAGAAAAAAGGTTTGGTAGCTTTTACGCAAGTTCTGGGAGTAATGCCTTCATTTGTCCAAATTCTATCATGTGACCATCCCTGAACCAATCACTTAATTGGCAGGGGATGCACTAATTGGCTAGCCCTGGAGGTTATGAGAGGTGGGAGGAGGAATCCACAGGGCAAAGGAAACACATATTACAAAAAGAAAAGACACAATAGTCACATAAGTATGAAAAAGGTTAAACAGTCACTTATTTCTTTCTCAGAGCCTTCAATATGTTAATGTATACCTATTATACTTTTACAATATGCATGATCAAGAAAGAGTTAGGAAGAGCGGGGCTGAATATGTAGGATTTCACACAGAGCACACTGAAGAATGCTGGAATGAACCTCAGGAAGATCGGTGACCTGTAGATAGGGTGGCCATTTATCCCAATCTGCCTGGGACAGTCCTACTTTATCCCTGCTGCTCCAGTTTCATCACCATTAGCCCCTACATTCACTCTCAGAAGGGCCCCAATTTGAATGATAAATTATATGGTCACTTCCAGTGACCTGTATTGAGGACTCCAAGTTGCTCCATGTTGGAGATTGTGAATCACTGACCCAATCAGACCTACTCTCGGAGGGCTGTGAATTTGAGAGTAAGAAAAAGAGAAACATTAGGAAAAAACCGAAACAGAGAAGCACAAGCAGTAGTGGCATAGACGGAGGAAGGCTGAATCCTGGGTGTGGTGGGTCCCAGAGCAGGAGCCATAGGGTACGGCAGGGGAGCCCAAGGAAATCAGCCAACCCCAGGCACCCTGACTCTCCCGACTGTTAGGCTGCTGAGATGCTGTCCTGGGTCAACTCACTCTCTAGGATGCTTGCACAATCTTCATCCCTGGAGCTCCCCTGAGCACACCTGCATGGCTCACCACAGCCTTTCTCAGTGTGGTTCTCAACTCTGGCTGCCCATCAGAACCACATTTGCCACTGTTAGGATATACAGACCATCAAAACACCTCCACTCTCTGCCCCAGCTTTTTTATTTACCAGGAAACATATTTCAAAATGATAGCTTCAAAAACCTGGTTTGTTCCAGATGATGAGATTATAGCATGTTTTAATATATTCTCCTTTGTTCTTTGTCATATTTTCCAAAAGTTCCGCAATGAACAAATATTTCTTTGGTAATAAGAAAAAAATAGCTATTAGAAAATAAGAAAGTAGAAGTAATCCCTTACATTTATGATCAGTTAATTGTCAACAAGGGTGACAAGGTAATTCAACAAGGGAAAAAAATCATCCTCTTCAACAGATGATGCCGGGACCACTGGATATCCACAAGCAAAAGAATGAAGTTGGACCTTCATACCATTATTAACTCAAAGTGAATCACACACCTAAATGTAAGAGCTAAAACTATAGAACTCTTTTAGAATAAAACATAAGTATAAATCTTCATAGAACTAGGGTCATGGGTTTCTTAGATACAACAACAAAAAGGAACAAGAGAAAACAACAACAACAACAAAGATAAATTGGACCTTATCTAATTTAAAAACTTTTGTGCTTCAAAGGACACCATTAAACAAGGGAAAAGGCCACCCAGAGTATGGGAGAAAATATTTGAATTTCTCCCACGTAACATGTAAAGAACTCTTGCAGCTCAACAATAAAAAAGATAATTTAAAAATAGGCAGAAGATTTGAATATATATTTCTATAAAGAAGATAGACAAATAGCCAATAAGCATATGAAAAGGTGCTCAACATCAGTAGTCACTGAGGAAATGCAAATCAAAATCACAGTGAGATACCTGACTTCACATCCACTAGGATGTACTAAAATAAAAGAAGACAATAATATATGTTGGTGAGGATATGAAGAAACTGGAACCCTCCTACATTCCTCATGGGACTATAAAATTGTGCAGCCCCTTTGAAGAACAGTTTAGCAGCTCCTCAAAAGGTTAAATATAATGTTATCATATGACCCAGCAATTCCACTCCTAGGTATATACCCAAGAGAAATGAAAACATATGTCTACACAAAACTCATACATGAATATTCATAGCAGCATTATTTATAGTAGCCTAAAGGTGAAAACAACCCAAATATCCATCAGCGATTGAATGAATAAATAAAATGTGGCATAAACATACAATGTAAGTATTCAACAATTAAAAAAAAAAAAGGAATGGGCCCAGCCTGGTGGCTCCTGCCTATAATCTCAGCACTTTGGGAGGTCAAGGCAGGAGGATTGTTTTGAGTCCAGGAGCTTGAGACTAGCCTGGGCAACATAGTGAATGTCTCTACCAAAAACAAACAAACAAAAATAGCTGGGTGTGGTAGGGTGGGCCTGTAGTCCCAGCTACTGCGGTGGAGGGGAGGGCACCTGAGGTGGGAGGATCACTTGAGCCAAGGAGGTTGAGGCTGCAGTTACCTGTGATTGTGCCACTGCGCTTCAGCCTCGGTGAGAGTGAGACCCTGTCTCAAAAAAAAAAAAATTTAAAGAAATATTTTTTAAAAATTTAAAAAAGAATGGAATACTGATACAAGCAACGACATGAATGGACCTTGAAAACTGTATTAAGTGAAAGAGGCCAGTCACAAAAGATCACACATTGTATGAGTCCATGTATATGAAATGTCCAAAACCATCGAAGTGATAGAGGCAGAAAACATATTAGTAGTTGCTGCGGGCATGGGTTAGTGATTGCTAACGAGTTTGAGATTCCTTTTTTGGGTAACGAAAATGTTCTAAAGTTAGACAGTGGTGATGGTTGCGCAAGTCTATAAATATACTAAAAACAACTGAATTGTACATTTGAAAGGGTAAACTTTTGGGTACATAAATTATATCTCAATAAAGCTGTTATTAAACACAGTACCAAACAAGGAAGTCAGGTGCAAAAGCATGTGAAAGTAAACTGAGGGCATTTCTAGAAGGGCAGAGGTTAGAAAAGTGGGAAGGGCTGGGAGTTAATAAAAATGAATGAGGTGGTAGGGCAGGGGGTCCCTGAGCCCCATCCTGCCTCAGCTGGCCACAGCCTGCTCCACTGGTCTACCAGACTGGATTCCTTTAACTGCCATAGTGTTCCAGGACATTTTTAAAAATCAAAAGATAATTGGGTCCGGGGACGATTATATCTTGCTAATCCATCTGCTCCTATTTTTTTGTTAAAGTATGGTTTAGAACAGTTTTAGATTTTGAGAAAATTTTTCTGTAAATTTAGATTTACAGAAAATTTGTGAAGATAGTTCCCACATACCCTGTACCTAGTTTCTGCTATTAGTAACAACTGACATTTGTATAGTACATTAGACACAATTAATGACCCAATATTGATACATTATTATTATTATTCGAGACAGAGTCTCGCTCTGTTGCTCAGGCTGGAGTGCAGTGGCATGATCTCGGCTCACTGGAACCTCCACCTCCTGGGCTCAAACCATCCTCCTACCTCAGCCTCCCAAGTAGCTGGGATTACAGACATGCATCACCATGCTCAGCTAATGTTTAAATGTTTTTTTTGTAGAGACGGGGTCTCACTATATTGCCCAGGCTTGATACATTATTGTTATCTAAAGTTTATACTTTATGCAGATTTCCTTAGGCTTAAAAAAAAATCAGTATCTCTTTTCTGTCCTAGGACCCCACATTACATTCTGTTATTACATTTTCTTGGGCTCCTCTTGGCTGTGCCAGTTTCCCAGACTTTCCTTGTTTCTGATGTCCTTGGCAGCTTTGGGGAGCACTGGTCAGGCATTTTGTAGAAACCCTCTGTTGGGATTTGTCTGATGCTTTTCTCATAATTAGACTGGGCTTAAAGGATTTTCAGACGAAGATCACAGAGGTAAAATGACATTTTAATCACATATCCGGGGCACATATTATCAATATGAATTATCACTGTTGATGCTGACTTTGATCACTGGGCTGAGGTAGTGTTTGTCTGGCTTCTTCACTTACAGAGTTACTCATTTTCCCCATCTTTTCCATGCTCCAGCCTTTGGACAGAAGTCCCTGTATGCAGCCCACACTTAAGGAGTGGAGAGACAGGCTCCACCTTACAAGATGGAGTATCTACATCAATTATTTGGAATTCTTCTGTTTGGGAGATTTGTCTCTTCTGTCCCATTCCGCTCATTTGTCTATGTCAGTATGAACTTAAGGATATTTATTTTATACTTTCAGTTATAATATAATTCTATCTTATTTTATTATTATTATTATTTTGCTCAAATTGTTCCAGCTTTGGCCATTGGGAGCTCTTCCAGTTGACATACCCCACAACTGGTGGGGAGAGGGTGTTTGTTTAGCTTTTTAAACATTTTTATTTATTTTTAGACCTTCCTTACTTTCTGGCAGTACAAGATAAGAGCCTTTTTAAAAATATTACAATTTTACATAAACATTTCAATTTTACATAAAAGTAAAGAAAATAGTATAAAGAAATCTCACATTCCAGTCCCTTAGGTCTAACAACTGCTAAAATTTTTTTGGTATATTCACATCATCTGTTTTTATTTTTATCTCTAACAAAGATTTTTAAAACATGTAACTATAAAAACTGCAATGTCACTATCACATCTCACAAAATAAACGCTAATTCCTAAATATCACCTATGATAAGTCATTGCTTAATCTTGGCTGACTGTTAAAAAAGGCATTTTTATAGTTGAGGTGGTGAAATCAGGTTTACACTGGATTTGGCTAATTGTATCTTCATGGTGTGATTTAAGATGTTCATCTATCTCCCATATTTCTTATAAACTAGAATTAGATCCAGGAGCTTGATTATATATCCCCCAAAGTTAAAAACGTTAATGAGGAAGCCTACACCCTGAATGAGACTTTGAGACTTTGTACTTTGAAGAAACTTCTCTCTCGTGGAAGTGAATGCCCTCCAGACCCTATGTTCAGGAAGAAGCAAGAGGCTTTAAGGCTGCCAGGAATTCACTGCTGATGATGCCCAGTGGAAATGTCAGGAGAAATGTAACCAGGCTCATATTTTATTAAGGTTGTGATTGTTGTTTGCGAGTGCTTTGGTTACCAAGTTCCATTGGTTTTTATGGACTGCCCCAACTCTATTTTTCCCATAAGCCCTATTATTTTTTAGCATGCCATTTTGTAGAACTCAGAGTTTTTAGCAATGTATATGTGATGTTAGAGCAGAAATGCCAATACATTTTTCTTGAAAAGAATAGAAGGCAGTCAGGTCAGTCCTGGAAATCTGAGAACGTTTGGTGTCTCTGTATGCAAGGCCCCTCTTGGCCTGTTTCCATTGCCACAGAGCCTGACAGTCCTCTTGAGGAACCCTTGGGTTGCAGCTCCCCCTCAGCACCTCCTCGTGGTCCACAGGGAGGGGTCCGGGCCTGGCAGGGCCTTGCCTCTGTTTGCAGCTTCTCTTGATTCTTCTGATTCTGCTTCATTTACTCCCATAGCCTCTGTCCCTGCACCAGGGCAGCAAGACCAGTTTCTTTTACAAAATGTTATGAGTCAGCTCCCTGCCCGTCCTCAGGACAGCAAATTGAGCTCCCTCATCTGCCGTGCAAGAAGGGCCTTTCGGAAATGTTAATTAATGATGAGGCCATGCATTGACAGACCAAGCTCAGGAAACAGCTCGTGCGTGCCAGGTGATTCTGTTCCCAGGCAAAACAGTAGACATACTGCTGCTTTGGGAGTTAGGGGGTTTTTTTAGTGATTCATTTGTAGTGCTGGGAGAAATGATTTTTCTTTTAGTTTTCTCTCTTTCTCTATTTTACTCTGTTCCCTGCCCCCCAATCAATTTTTCAACAAGTAATTCCAAAGTCTTGGTGCCAGGTGTCTTAGAGAGTGAGAAAATTAAGTTTTAACTAAAATGTATGTCTTACAAAACAAAGGAACAAACAAAATACACCTACTGGTGCTTTTAGAAAGAAGGCCACTGGGTGGATGATAGTTGCAAAATCAACAGAACTACGTTGTGTGACCGGGCCCTACATCACATCTTCCCACTTGGGTACCCCATCTCCTCCCTATTCCAAAGACCAGGGGGCACCACCAGATCCCCCTTGGAACATGGAGTCATGTAGACCGAGCCTGGCAGCGGGACTGCTCCCTCCTTCTTTGGGAGAGAGGCCCCTGGGAGCATCCCCACCTATCCTCCGGGCAGGGGAATTGGGTGGGTCTCAGGCTGCAGCTGGAGTTTTGTCACCAGGCCAGTGGTCACCTCACTGCACCATGTTATGTGATGGAAGAATTTCCACATCTGCAGGTGACTCTGGAGTGGTTTGTGCTATGTCCTTTCAGATTCCTTCTCGGCTACAGTTCCCACACATGAGGCTCCAGGAATGTTTTTGAGGTTCTTGACTCAAATAAGGTGGGAGTGCACACAGAGGGCCTCACTCCTCACTGCCCAGAACTCGAGATGACCGTGAGCTTCCTTCCATTCCTAACCCTCCTTCTTGGGATCCTTCTTTTAAAAATTTCCCCTGCTTTCCTGAATCCCTATTTCCTCCCATTTCTCTGAACATTCTACTCCCTTCCTCAGAAATCATGTCACAAGTTTCTTCTTGTATCTTACATATTCCCCAACTTCCAGAACTTCCTGGAACTGGACAAAGAGGAGGGCCAGCTTTAGTTTCCTGGGTAGAGGCCAATCTCCAATCTCCACCACCATCTGTTTGACGAGTCAAATGACAGACACACATTCAGCCTCTTTTGCTCATTGGTAAATTAGAGATAAAACTCACCCATTTCTCAGGCTTGCTGTAGTATCAAAAACTGGCTTGCTGAGAGGTGGCCATTATTACTACTGATGGTGCAAATGGAACACCATTTTAGTTTCAAAACGGTGTTTCCAGCCAGGTCAGCTGCCTAGCACCTTTCCCATAAAGTTGGACCTCAAGGCTGCAGGTCGAGGGCAACCTAAATGTGGTCAGCCTGCCGAGCCCCAACTCCCAGCCAGCTTGCAGGTTCCTCTCTTGGACCCTCCAGGAGCCTCCATACTGCAGCTACTCTCTCAGGGGTCTGTTCAGCCAATGATGGCTTCCAAAACCTCCCCCTTCAGACCAGACCCTAGGGCCTTCCCCTGCTCTGCAGAGTGAGAGAAGTGGGGTCCTAGGGCAAATGCCAGGCGGAGCTCTACAACCACCTTCCAGATCCAGATTCAAGGAAGGGCTTTCCCAACCTCTTTCCAAGTTCACTCCCACCTTTCTTTTTGTTTATTTTTTTGAGACAGGGTCTCGTTCTATCACCCAGGCTGGAATGCAGTGGGGCAATCACGACTCACTGCAACCTCCACTTCCTGGGCTCAGTGATCCTCCCATCTCGGCCCCTTGAGTAGCTGGGACTACAGGTGCAAGCCACCACGCCCGGCTAATTTTTTGTATTTTTTGTACAGACAGGGTTTCATCTTGTTGCCCAGGCTGGTCTCGAACTCCTGGACTTAAGTTATCCACCTGCCTCAGCCTCCCAAGGTGCTGAGATAACAGGTGTGAGCCACCGCCGCCAGCCATCCTGCCTTTTAACTGGCAAAGCCTGGGGATGGATAGTTGGAGGTGGCACAGAATGTGGCACGTGACAGTTCCACAGACTCAAACCAGCTCTCTCAGGTTTTCTAGCTCAGTTGAAAATAATCGTTTACAGGGTGGGATGGGGGAGCATTGGTATTTCATTCCTTACAAAGCTCCTGTTGGGGCTGGAGGGTCAGTCTACAATATGTCTGATGAGATTTATTGTCTTATGGGAGTCCAGTTCCTTTATCTGATTCCCAAAAGTTTTGCCTGAAACCCAGACCCTGTAATAAGACAGCCACCAGAGTGTGTCAGAAGTCACTGAGAACCACATTTCTTCAGAGTAGTTGGATTTGGGGAACAGGGAGTAATATTTTTTCCACAAATCAATTCTGCTGAAGGATGGTGTGCCCTCCCACCCTCTGAAATCCCAGGAAGCTTCTGTCATGTGCAGTAGCAATTCAGCGTCCACTTGGTAAAAATAGCTTTTTAATTTATTGACTGGCAAAATACTCTATTTATCAAACCATTCTGGGTTCTTCTAAAGATAAAATGGAGGTAAAACCCAAAAGGAAAATTAAAGCTTTAATGCAGTCTTGCAGACTTCTGCTTCATTTCATTGTAAATTGCGTGCAATAAAACATAGCATCGGCAGCCTGCATAAAGCAGCTGTATAATTTTCTTTTGTGCAGGGAACTAATTCTGAAGACTTCTCACCTAAGAGAAGGCTTACGATGGTGGATGACTCCCGTACACTAATTATGTCTTCCTTTATTTCTTTGGCTTGAACTCTTAATTTGCTTACAGTTTAATGAACATCAGTTCTTGCTGAGAAATATCTAAGTACCTGGGAGATTGAACACTTAGGCAGTCAAATGCTCTCACTCCCAACACTAATCTTCAAACCCTCTGCATTCTAAACAGACTTCTAAAGGAGAGTGGCTCTTTAAAGGCTTGTGAATCACTTTTGAGCAGTAACTGTACACTTAAATTAAAAGCCATGATCTGGCAGGAGACTTGGGTTGTGCTTTAAAAAAAGAAAAGAAAAGGCTTTCCTAGTTCAGGTACAAGGCATGAATTGCTGGTTTCTATCATTGCCTGATGCAAAAACCATGAATTGTATAGCTGTTTGTTTCCCTGACTTTGGTCTTCCCAAGAGTTTCTCCAAAAAGGCTTAGTTACTTTCTGCAGGTGTTTTCCCTTTATCTCTGAGAATTTAGAAACTGAGGAGCTGGAGAAGCAGGGAGGGGGTTTCCAACCTGGACCTTGCCTCTCATTTCCAAGGTCTCTTTCCTTTAACACTTCACTCCTGGAATGGTGATGCTGAGCTTACTTTGATGGCAGATAATTTCAATATATATCATTACAATTAATGGCCATTATGTGCTTCACTTGCCATGACTTCTCAAATTTCAGTATTTGAGATGAAGGACCATTCAGATCAGCACCGGAGGGTGAATGTACAGATTCTGGTTCAGCAGGTCTGGAACAGGACCCAAGAGCCTGCATTTCCAAGCAGCTCTCTGGTGAGGGTGCTGCTGCCGCAGGACACTCTGAGTAGTAAGAACGAAGCTCTGTACCTGGATAGTCTGAGTTCTTCTTCATTATGGCGTCTGAGGTAGTACTCTTACAGATGAGGCCACCGATGTGCAAAAACAGGAAGTAATGTACCTGAGGTCAACGAGCTGTAAACGGCAGAGTCTGAAATTGATTCCGTTCCATTTGATTCCAAAGCCTGAGAATACAACCCCTGCACATTGCTCCTGCATTTTTCAGTAGGTGCTCTTGTGAAAAGGAAGACATGAAATGAATTGGTTCATTGCTCTTAATCCAGAATATTCTGTGGGTAGTCCTTGTTAAAGCCAATAAGCCATCTCTTAATTTACCACCATTGTCAATCAAGGTTTGTGTCCAGCTGGGCATCACTGTGTTGCCATAGGAGAACCCAACCTCGACAAGCGCTGAGTAGCCAATGTAGGCTGGCCCAGTGCTCCTGGCAAGGTAAGGGAGGAATCAGTGTGACGGAGATCTCTGGTCACATCTCTCTAATGCTTTCAGCACTCCCCAAGGAAGCCATTTTCTCTCTGATGACGTTGGGTCAGATTACTCAGAAGTGGATTGTAAACGGACAAGGAAACTTTTGCACTTCACTTGAGAATTTCAAATGGCACAATGTGTTGCTTCTTCATTTGGGTGAAATAATTCACTTTTTTCTAACACTGCACATTTAAGTCAGGGCCCTAAAGAGAGGAGCAACAGCACATGGTGGTTAAATGTGTCCACACTGGAGCCAGAATGTCTGGGTTCAAACCCTGGCTTAGCTAGCTGCTATGGACTTGGGTGATTTACATAACCTTTCTGTGCCTCTGTTTTCTCGCCTGAAAAGGAGAGGATGATAACAATATTCCCCTCATAGGCTTACTGTGAGGATTACAGAATTTATACATGTGAGGTCCCTTGCCATGGGATAGCACCTCAAAAACGTGAGCTGCCATTATTAACAGGAAGCTGGAACAGCCTTGCGGAGAGTGCTCCCTGAAATGTGGGCGATGTTTCTTTCTTCTATACCTATAGCCCCAGGAGCTAATTTTACTGATTCTTTACAATAGGGAATAATGGGAAAATAAACTTCTGCAAAGAATTGACACTATAAGTAGTCCAAAGCAGAGAGAGAGAAAAATGTATACGTGACTGTTAGCACTTTTATGGATGATGCTTCTGTTTACACGTTGAGTCTTGAGGCTATTTAAATTAAGACCTTCTGCTTTGACTACAGCTGTGTGCACAGGCGATGTTTGCTGAGCCCAGTTCCTGTGCTATCATTGCAGGACTGAAATGCAAACATACTTGTAAAGAGGAAACACACTTTTATTTCCTAAGGGCCCTCTAATCAAGGCAAAAGCTATTACTTGATCGCATAATTAACCTTAGGAATAGAAGTGTAAACAGCACAATTCATGAATTTGTTAATTGGTCTTCCCTGCTACTGATATTAGCCCAAGTTGATCTGTTGTTCTCCTCTGTTGATTATCTTAAATAGGAAGTTTTCTAATTTGGATTTCTCCAGGGTAAGCAAGGGAAAAGAGTGAAGTAAGATATTTTTAACAGATTGAGAATATTCTGTAATTTTTTTTTCTTCGAGGTGGACACAACTGGAGGGAAGATACTATATATGTTATCAGATTTGGACCTCTTTCCAGATTTCCATTCTGTGCAGTGATTAGCCACATATCTGGCTTTCCCCCAACCTCACCCCCCAGGCAGTGAATACATAAAACAACCAGTAATGTTTCATAGGCAGCCATGCTTCCTGGACTCTGAATCTCAGTCTAATTTGGTTCTAATTTATTTTCCCCATTGCAATGACTCCTTAGCTGAGCGGAAATAAACAGAAACACTGGGGGGTTGTGTAGACTCAGGTCCTGCAGGTGGAGAACATGTGTGTGTGTGTGTATTAGTCTGGGGTGGGGAGGCTTTGAGGAATATAGTACCGAGATCCCTCTCCCATGAATTTTAAAGAATTGTACTCACCAACCAGGAAACTTGAATTCTGAGAAAAGTGGACATGGTACATCTGTAGTAGGAACTTGGGCCAAGTTCCAGAAACAGCCAATCAACACTTCAGAGATTCTTTCATTCTTTCATTGGAGTCCCTCATTATGACACCTAGTTATTCAATTAAATTAGACCTTAAGCCTCTAAGGGCTGCTTTAATTTAAAAAAAAAATTCACTGAGGGTAGTGATACTAGGCCTGATTTATTCACACATACCTAAAAATATTTGCAGAGACATCTGAGCAATCATCACTGACGAATTCAGAAAATTAAGAAGCTGCCCACTTCAACCAACAGGCAACTTCAGTTAAGAAGGAATGGTTAAAAAGCCCTTAACAAAGAGAAACTTGCTAGTGGTCTCTCTAGCTGCTTTGAAACCTTAAGGAATCTTGCTGGGTAAGAGTCTAGGTCACCAAGCGGAAAGCCACAGTGAAACATATACAAATGAATAGCCCGTGGCTATGGGATTCAAACACCACAAACCACCAAGTGCAGAGACATGGAATGTCTGTGGTTTGGGGGCCTTCTGGCAAAACAGGATGTGTTCAGAAGGATCAGGTGGCAGCAGTCTGTCATTTAGACCTTAGGACTTAGCCTGGAGAGCTGAGCTGACACAGGGAGCCCCCCAGGCTGACTGCCATGCCTGTGGGTGGGCCTCTGAGGCTCTCACTGGCTCTAGGCCTTTAGAGAGAGCAGCCAGGGCAGATGATTTCATGGGCAATGTCTCTGACTGTCTTGGGCAGATTTGGAAAGTCAGGAGTAACTCACAGTGATGGCACACCCTGTCACAGCTGGGCTGCGGACCAATGTACACCCAGACCAATTCACACTGCACACTTCCAGGTATGAAAGACCTTTGGTCATCATGGGAATTATGAACTCACCCTAAGGATTCCATGCAGTGGGACTAATAGAGGTGCACAGAAGTCCTTCCAACTCATTGCTTCTGCTCTTCTATGGACCCCACTCTGGCCTTTTTGAAATTTTGATCTAGAATTTCAAGGGAAAAAATAGAGTCCCAGAAGGGATACTCTGAACTTCACTTTATAAAAAGTTCAGTCATTTTCATTTTACTGAAAAGCATTTCCATGTGGAGAAAACACTTAAGATACCTGGTGGGAGAATCTGGAAATAAACCCCAATGAAAGTTAGGAGGAGGTGATGGGAAAACAGGTTGGAGAGGGGAGAGGGCACTTATATCCTTGAGGATCCCCAAGTGGCTGGTCCTCTTGATATAAGATGCATGGGGTTACAGCTCAGTTTATCCATCTGCACATGCTCAAATCAGAACCTGAAGTCAAAAGCTCTGGATTCTGCTAGTTCCAGATCTTAATATATGATGGTTTCCACCTTGAGACTGATGAATGCTGCTAACAGTGATATTATCAAGTACTTTTTATTAAGAACTCATGAGCCAGAGACTATGCTAAGCACATTACCTACATCATCTGTTCAGTCTTCAGCAGCCTGATGAGGTTAGGACTATTATTGTGCCTGTTTTACAGATGAAACAAGAGACCAGAGAACTGAGGTAATTTGCCCACACATGGATTCCATCCTAGCCTCTATCTAGCTATACAACTCCTCCAGGAAGAGCACCCCTAAGGCCCTCTTTGTGACATGAGACTGACTAGATAGATCATTCTTGTTGATGGATTCTACTGGCATGGGTAAAGAAAGGTCACTATTTCTGAAATCTGCCATACTGACTTTTTTTTGCAGAGGGTGTTGGGGGAACTTGCTTTAAAAAATATATTTCTAGCAAAGTAATGCAAATACTCAAAGTATATAAAAATGCTATAACCCTCCACTTTCCCCCCAACCATAGAGGCAAATATTTTTAACTTTTAGCTAACTCTTCTGATATATACATATATATATGTCCCATCTTTATATAATATGTGCACCTTATTTTTTCATTTTAGACATTAATAACTTCTAATTATGGTAGATGAGGATTTAACTCTCCCTCTACTATCCTCTCCCCCCCACTGATGTTTTAGCAATCATAATCATAGTATTTACATTTTTATGGCTACATAAATATAGTTTAGTATAGTTTCTAGGGCTAACTAGTATACTATGTTTTTAAACATACTTTTAAAAATTAATAATTGCCTTATTTTTATCTGTTGCATAGCTTTTTATATGTTGAACCGTAAAAAATTTCTAAGTGTACCATCAGCTGTTCGGAACGCTGAGACTTTTTTTCTCTAAAAGCTCTGGCATGATAATAAGATGATTATCATTTCCTTTTGTACGCTTGGGATGTTTCTTCCATTACTTTCCCTGCTTACACCTCAACTGCTAGTTCTTGAATTCAAATGCCCACCTACCATCCTAGAACTCCCTTCACCCATCTCCTGTGTTAAAATCCCTATTTTCTGCCACGTTTTTCTTGATTGTGGTTTGTTGGACCACATATTCATTTCAGAAAGAAAAGGTTTCTGAGAGGGAGTGCTTTGTGTCCTTCCATGCTGAAAATGTCTTTATTCTCCCTCCCACTTGATTATTTGGCTGGTGTAAATTCTAAATTGAAAATACTTTGCCTGTACAATTTCGAAGACTTTGTCTTCTATTATAGCATCCAATGTTGCTATTGAGAAGTCCAAAATTCCAATTCTTATTTTATTTAACCCCGACTTTTCTCTCCACAAGTTTTTAGGAAGGTCTTTTTAGCCTAGGTGCTTCAAAATTTCATAATGATGAACATGGATGGGCAGTTTTTTTTCATTCATTTATTCAAAGGGCACCCAGTGGGTCCTTGTCATCTAGGGGTTTTCTGTCATCCAATTCTGTTCATTTTTCTTGCAGTTAAAAACATTCTATTCTTTGTTTTCTATTTTCTGTTTTGGACACCCTGTTATTTGAATGTCAGATGTCCCAGACTGATCCTCTAAGTTTTTAATATTTTTTCTACTAATTTCCATCTCTTCCTTTAACTTTTGTTTGATTTCCTCAATTTTTATTTTCAGTTTAAGGTTTTCTTATGAAATTTCCATTATATTTTAGTTTTCATGAGCTCTTTTAAAAATTGTATCCTAGGCAGGGCAAAGTGGTTCACACCCATAATCCCAGCACTTTGGGAGGCCAAGGTGGATGGATCATTTGAGCCAAGTTTGAGACCAGCCTGGGCAACATGGTGAAACCCTGTCTCTAGAAAAAAATTAAAAATTAGCCAGGTGTGGTGGCATGAGTAGTCCTAGTTACTCAGGAGGCTGAGGTGGGAAGAACACCTGAGCCTGGGGAGGTCGAGGCTGCAGTGAGCTGAGATTTTGCCACTGCACTCCAGCCTGGGGGAGAGAGTGAGACTGTGTCTTAAAAAAAAAAAATGTATTCTGTTCCCATATTATAAGATGCAGTATCTTTTTGAGGGTATAAAACTTTCTTTCTCAAAGTTTATTTCATGAGTTTTTGGCTTACTTAGTCTTTTAAATCAGAGTCTTTTCTCAAACGTTCTTTGATTCTTGACTATCTGTTCATATTTTAGAGACAGATGCTAAAAAGTGAATAGGAAGCTCTGTATGGTTGGGGCTCTTAGAATGAGAAATTTCTCCTCTGATTGGGTAGGGAGCCAGCAGTTTCACTGAAGGAGTCCTCCAATAAAATGCCAGTATCTAGAGACTTTTTCTCTCAGGTTGTTCACTTCTCTGGGAAAGAATCCTCTGGTATATTTCAGACTGTTGGCATTCTGGGAGAGGGTTAGGGAGAATGTAATCTCCATTTTTGTTTCTGAGCCTCTTCTGTGCCTGTGTGCTCAGTGCAAGGTGGGGTGAAGTGGGTAGTGGGATAGGGGGTAACACAGAGGTGGTCCCCTGGCTGAGAAAAGGATGTAGGGCTCCAATCATTCCATGTGTTCTCCTTTTCAGCTAGTCCCCCAGTTTTCAGCTCCTGTCTTACCTTTGCCTTTCACAGAAAAGGAATTAGCTTGCTTCTCATTTGTATCCCCCTTTCTGGGCACATTAGATTGTAGCTTTTATACTCTACTCAACTAGAGTAATCCACTCCTACATCTGTCTTCCTACATCCAAAGTTGATGAAATCTTTTGTCTACTCGATTCTCTTCTCCTGCTTCCTTTCTGGGGTACTGATTTTTAGATTTCTCAATTGAAATAGGTTCTTTGGAGAGAAAGAAATAATTTGTCATTTTAGACTGGATTGCATTTTTTTTTTTTTTGAGACAGAGTTTCTCTCTTGTTGTCCAGGCAGTGATGTGATCTCGGCTCACTGCAACCTCCACCTCCCGAGGTCAAGCGATTCTCCTGGCTCAGCCTCCCGAGTAGCTGGGATTACAGGCACCTACCACCATGCCCTGCTAATTTTTGTATTTTTAGTATTAATGGGGTTTCACCACATTGGCCAGGCTGGTCTTGAACTCCTGACCTCAGGTGTTCTACCTGCCTTGGCCTCCCAAAGTGCTGGATTACAGGCATGAGCCACTGCACCCAGCTGGGATTGCATATTGCCTTCTAACAGGGGAGACTACTGTCTTAGGTTCCCGGCACATTTTGGGAGGCAGTTCAAGCATTGCGTCCTGGAAATTTTACAGATTTCCTCTTCCAGATAAACTTTGAAATAGTAACCTGAAACATAGTTACCGATATCTTGTTAGTGGTAGTAATAATAACAAAGATGGCTAGTATTCATTAAACACATAATTAGGTCAGTACTGTACCAGATGCTTTATGTTATTTCATGTAACATTCACAACAGTTTCTTTTTTACAGATGATGAAAGAGGTTCAGAAAGATTTTAAAATCCTTTCGGAGTTGCATGAGCGGCTGAGATGGAATTTGAACTCAACTGTCTTCCTCATTCCTGATTCATAATAAAATAATAATAATAGCTGCAACATTTATTGAGAATTTGCTAGGTATCAGTGTAAGTTCTACATGGTCCTGACTTTCCTGACAATACAGCATACAAGCTTGCTCCTTCACTTGCCTAGTTGTCTTTAGAACACAAGTACATCAATGGTGAATTTATTTATTTTTAACGTTTTTTATGTAACGAAAGTATCCATCTTCTGTAGAAACAGCATTTCTTTCCTCCTGAATTATCTGGTAGTAGTCTTTCTTTTAATAATATGCAATTTTACCTACTTTTCCTAAAATTTCATTACTAAGGAGATGGCTTAGAGTAGGTTCTTTCTTCTTAGGCAACTCACTCTCTTTTGTTTCTGCAGTTGAAAAAAAGCAGGAGGGGATTCACACAGCCAAACCATACCAGGAATCTACTACACATTTTTTCTTCAGGCCTCCCCTGTTGAAAACCAGGCACTTGCTTGAATAGCTTTATGTCAGCTTCTAGTTTGACAGGTCAAGGCTGAGGACTACATCATTTTCTGGCATGACCTATGAGATACTACGTGTTCCTGTATTTTCAAGGCAGTTGTGAATCAATATATAACATAGTGGTTAAGAGGTTGGGTTCTGGAACCTCAATGCCCGGGTTTAAATCCCAGTTTCTCCAAGTTTCGTTTTGTTTTGTTGACACACGGTCTTGCCCTGTCACCCAGGCTGTAGTGCAGTGGCACAACGACAGCTCACTGCAGCCTCAACCTCCCATGCTCAAGATATTCTCCCACCTCAGCCTCCCAAGTGGCTGGGACTACAGATGCGTGCCACCATACCAGGCTAATTTTTCTATTTTTTGTAGAGATGGGGTTTCACCATATTGCTCAGGCTGGTCTTGAACTCCTGGATGGTCCTCCTGCCTTGGCTTCCCAAAGTGCTGGGATTACAGGTGTGAGCCACTGCACATG
The DNA here is from genome assembly GCF_000001405.40 of Homo sapiens. Taxonomy (NCBI): domain Eukaryota; kingdom Metazoa; phylum Chordata; class Mammalia; order Primates; family Hominidae; genus Homo; species Homo sapiens. The sequence continues at coordinate 152,315,659 of NC_000004.12, forward strand.
CCAGCCCCCCTTTTTTTCCTCTTGTGTCCTTGAGCAAGTTACTTGGTATCTTTGTGTCTCAGTTTTCTTATCTGTAAAATGAGACTTTGTATTAATAATAATAGTAAGCCATGGGATAGTTGAGAATATTAATAATTTAAAAATATTTAGAGCCATGCTAAGTGTTAAGTGCACAATGGCAGTTAGCTACGATAGTTTATTACAGGTAATAACAACAAACAACTCTTTAACAAATACTATGTGCCAGGCACTATGCCATACATGGTCTTACGTAGTCCTCATAATGTTTCCTCATTTATAGATGGGGTAAAACACAGAAGTTGAGACAGGCAGACATGGATTCATGTTGAAACTGATGAAGCTAATCTTGAGGCCCTCATTTAACAGATCCCTGGGAGAGCTAGGGGTTGCTGGGAGTTGTAGTATTTCAGGTGGGCAAGAGAAGCCAGGCTGCAATCTGAAGCATTTCTGATAATTGCCTAAAGAGATCTTATTTGGTGGCTCACGCCTGTAATCCTAACACTTTGGAAGACCAAGGCGGGTGGATTACCTGAGCCTGAGCTCACTTTGAGATCACCATGGGGGCAACATAGTGAAGCCTTGTCTCTACTAAAATACAAAAAATTAGCCGGACTTAGTGGTACACGCCTGTAATTCCAGCTACTCGGGAGGCTGATGCAGGAGAATTGCTTGAACCCAGGAGGTGGAGGTTGCAGTTAGCCGAGATTCAAGATTGCATCACTACACTCCAGCCTGGGCCACAGAGCGAGACTCTGTCTCAAAAAAAAAAAAAAAAAAAAAAAAAAAATCTCAGAAGGATCTGCATTTCCTAGGCTTCTAGGCTTCAGTAATTTATCATCTTTCTCATTCTAAATGTTTATTTTTGGATCTAATTGTATTTTTTTTTAAGAGAGTCCTTAAGTTTGTAAGCTTTAGGCTCCCGAAACCCAGATCCAACCCTGACCAGAGATGTATGCAGTTTTACTCTTTATACCATACTGTGTTCTTGCTGGATGTATTTAAGCTATTCAAACTCCCTTTAAAGGAGTGGAGAGCATACTCAAATTGAAAGACTTAGTTTTTCCAACTACATTTAGTAAGGAGTAAGGGTCTGATGAATCCTTAGTGGCTGTAACTAAGTTTAAAAAGCCCTGCAAATAACCTTCCCCTCTAGGTGAGTAGCAGGGTTTAATGTCTCTTTTATAATTGATTAACCTCCTGGAAAAGGGTAAATTGGCAATATACTTTTGTGGTCTATTACATTTGAATCTTTGATTTGCAAGTGGCTTCAAAATAATTTTACTTGCAGAGCACGGCCGCTGAAGCAAAACAGAATCCAAACAGCCTTCACAGGTTTTGCCATCACAGATATTCCAAAGGAAAGAATGAAACATCAAAATGTCCATTCAGTGGCTCCTTGTCCTTAAGAATCCTGGGGAGAAACAGATCATCTGAAATAGAAACTCTGCTATTTTTATACCCAATTGCAAATTGGGAAGTTGCCAGGCTTTTTGTCTCAGCAATGAGTCTTCCTAGGAACTGGATCTAGAATTTGTTTATACTTCACGCTCTGGTGAAAGGTGCATTCTGAATCCTTTCAGCTTCTGATGCTTTTCCTTTCCCTGAAGAACCCTTGAAATTTTTTGTCTCATTCAACCTAGAAAGAGAAGGTGGCAGGGTACAAAGTTGGCAAGAACCTCACTCATTTGGGCATCACTAGTATTAACTGAATGGATAGGACATGTTGGTTAGTCAACAATGACAGATCTTGCTATGTTGTCTGCAATTCAAAGCAATGACTAGGCACTCCCCCAAAAAGGAGCTGGGTGCAGCTACTTTGGATCTAACTTCATATCCATCTCCTGGGCAGCAGAAAATGCCCAAATCAAAAATTATGCATCAACTTTTCAAATTACCATATGGTTGCTTGATGCAGGGCTCCAGGAACATTATGCACACACATTCTCTTCAGACATAGAGACCACTAATCTATCATGGAGAGGAATATTAGGAAGTCTCCTCTTGGCCACCAACCCCTTCCCTTTATGACCCATTCCTTATTTTTGATAGATGAAAAAAGAGGCCTAAGGGAATGATGGTATGACTCAATAAGAACAAGAGGCTTATTCTCAGTTTCCAAAATATTCTTGTGTATGTATGTGTAACTATGTGTAAACACATACACAAACACACATAAAAGCCATCTTGAAAATGCAGTAAGGCAGAGAACATTAAAACAATCTGTGTCAGAAGCATTTATTCAAATTCATTCATCAGCAAACCTAAGCCACTGCTACTATTAGAATTACAAATGGCACTGCAAAATAGGAGGTTCTCTTCCAATTGCTATAAGGGACAAGGCAGGATCCTTTATTGGCTGATGAACCTGAAGGAGTATAGGTTACAATTCTGACTTTTATTGGGGCCGGAGATGACTAAAAGAATGAAAACAAATTTGTGTCTGAGGGCGGTATTCATTGGGGAGAAATATTTCAAAAACTTTCCTTCTCCTGGAGGGAACCAATCAGAAAAAAATGTAATGTGAATCTATTTCTGCTATGCAAAGCAACGGAGCTTCATGTTTCTGGTTTCAACATGGAATAGAGGGAGTTACAGGGGCAAGGACAGTGGTGAGTAGGCGCCTCTGAGATGTCTTCTCTCCTTCACCTCCGTACCTTTGTTTCACAGTGTGCAACGTGTATCTCAGGGAGAAGTGTACAGAAAACCAGGGCTCAGCTGGGTCTGGGGAAGCTGCCCTTGATCCCCATTTCACTTTAGGGAAGAGAAAAGCAAAGAGGTCTTTTGTAGCCTCTAATCAATTCAGGGAAATGGAAGAGTTTACAACAGACTAGCTCAAAGCTGGTAGAGAAAATGGCTTAAAGCAGTTAATACAAATAACTAAATGTCAATTACTTTTCTGAAATGAAACAAGGCTGGTTGAAACATTTACTTACCATTTGGTAGGCATTAGCTTTTGCAACCTAATGAAATAGCTGTGGTAATTGAATCTCAATAAGGGGGTTTCAAAGTGTCAAAATTATAAACAATTCTAATATAAAATAATGAGATAATCAACTCTGCTCAGTTCAACAAGTATACTAAGTACCTGCTACTGGCTTTTATGGGTTACTTTTGTGTCCTAATTTCAGCCTTAGTTTCAGGCAATGTTTGATATTTGGGAACTTGTAACATCTAAATATGAAGTGTGCCTATATCTGTTATGAAGATTTTAAAATGTACAGTTACATGAGGTGGTAAAGTTTTTCATTAAAAAGGCCACAAAATGGAGTTTTCTTAGTGACCTTTTTACAACAATTATACTTTGATTCCTGTAGAAGGATGCTAACATTTTCCCTTCAAGCAAAGATTTATTGTAATAAAGATTATTCATTTATTCATAAAATGATGTTTAATGAACACCTAAACACAGTCATCCCTCCATTATTTGTGGGTTCTGCATCCACAGATCTAACCAAACGAGAATCAAAAATATTTGAAAAGGGTGGCTATGTCTGTATCGAACATGTACAGACTTTTTCCCTTGTCATGATTCCCTAAACAATACAGTATAATAACTATTTACATAGCATTTACATTGTCTTAGGTATTATAAGTAATCTAGGTATGATTTAAAGCATACGGGAGGGCTTGTATATGTTACATGCAAATACTATGCCATTTTATATCAGTGACTTGAGCATCCATGAATTTTGATATCCATGGGGGTGAGGTTGGGGAGATCCTAAAACCAATCCCGCCCAAATACTGAAGGATGACTGTATATACAAAACCACTGTTAGGTGCTCAATATCAGTCTGTCTCACAAGGTTTCTGTAAAACTCAAATGAGAATCTAGATGGCTCCACGTAAAAGAATGGACTGCTGTGTGTGTGTGTGCACACGTGTGTATGTGTATGCTATTTTTATTACATAATCTGAGTAACAAATACATTCAATTCTCTAATATAGAAAGTTATCTGGGTCTATTTACTTAAAATTTTTAATAGAAGCTACCATTTACTGAGCTCTAAATGCCATCGGTATGCAATGTGCTTTACGTTTCACCTAATCTTTATAATAACCTTAGGAGATGGGTATCCTCTACATCTTAAATGAGGAAACACGAGGTCAAGAAACATGATAAAGGTCCCAGTAACTAGACCATACTAGAACTGAGATGAATTCAGGGCTATTTGTCTGCAAAGCCTGTGAACTCATTCTATTCTCTAAAGTTCTAAAAATGGATGTTTCTCTTCAATTATATTCTAGTTAAGCCTCATTTATATGCTCTTATGAAAAATCAAGCAGTTTCAAGAACTATCAAATAGAATTACAACTTTTTCTTGACAATTCACAGTCATCAATGTGAACAGTAGTCACGGTTTGGGCAGTAACGTGGTTTACTCTAAAGACCCTGCACTTCACGGCCTAGTAGGATTTTTGCCTTGCATTCAACCAGGTAGTTTTTTGTTTTTTTCCTTTACCCTGTCACTTTTCCTTGCTATTTTTGTGTCTGTAATTTGCTGTGGACTAATAAACCAAATAACCAAATGTACAGGAATGGTATCTAAAGCAATGGTTCTGAAACTTTAGTATCCACAACTCACCTGGTGAGCTAGTTTAAATGCAGGTTCTTGGGTCACACTCCCAGGTGTTCTGATTTAGTAGCTTTGGGAGAATGAGGCCCAGGATTTGCCCTATGAGTAAAGAACACATACTTTATGACTATGAGAAAAAGGGGAGTCCATTTTCAGTAGCTTTTATATTTTCATCTACGGCCTGGTTAGTTGAGATTACTGGATGTGTGTATATATATATGTGTGTGTATATATATATATATATATATATATCTCCTGCTATTTGAGATACTAAATATATTTAGAACTAGTTTCAAAAACAACTTTATTTTTTCCCCTTACATCATAAAATTTAGATTTTATAAAATTTAGATTTGTTGAACAAAACGGCTACAGAACAGTCAGAAAGTACCAGAAAAATGGCTTATTTCCCTCTCAAACCTTGCTTTAGTCTGTCAAACTTTCTTAAAGAGCAGCATGTATTTAGTCTTTGGAAATATGGGTTTGAGTTCTGGCATTCCGCTAGTTCTATGATTTGACAAATTGCCTAACCAGTCTCAGCTGCAGATTTTTGCTCGTCTTTAAGATGGGAGATAATAGTGCCTACTTCTCAGGGATAGTGGGAGCTTAAGAGAGAATGAACAGAAAGTATCGAGGGTAAGCACTTAATATGTGGTCAAAATTTCAAAATGAATTTGTTATTTATAAGGCTTCTAGTTGTAATTATCACAAAAGTTTTGTGGATTCTTTGAGGGAACCAGATTTCATATTTATACACCCCAATGCAATCTACAGAGATGAGCACAGTGGAGTGTCCTCCTTCATAGTCTAGGAGAGAAATAAAATTTGCAGTTGCAGCACATTATCCTTACTTTCGCGGTATAAAACAGGCTTGAAGTATTGATTTCTATGTCACACAGCAGGATGCAAAGAAACCAAGATTTTGCTTATTTAAATATTATAGACAAATCCTAAATACTTATAATGAAGGATTATTACTTCAGTGGAAGAAACAGGCATACTAACATGAAAAAACACATTTTATTGCACTTAAGTTATAAGAAAATAAAATTTCTAAGTGAATCAAACCATAGACACAATCCCTTTAAAGGTTGTTTTCCTCCATCATGTCAGGTTGTTACATAACTAAAATTAACCAACTTGAATCTGATTGTTTTAAATCAGACTATAAATAAAACAAACAAAAAAATAAACAGAAGGAGGAAAAAAGATCGCCTAGGATACAGTGTTAAACCACTTTCACAGTTCAGCTTGAGTTGTGGCTCTTGGAGAATGAGGCAAACCATTTGACTGTTTCATTCATTTTGTTTGTTTGCATGTGACGCCTTTACTACAAAAACTGAATAGTTTCTGCTTTGTCAGTTACTCAGAGCAATAAAACTGTAACAGTTGTTTTCCCAAATACTGTAAAACACTAAGACTGACCAGCAACTTTATTTTAATTTTGTGTTTTATATATTTTTAAAATATTTTGTCAGTTTTACGATGTACGTTCATCCATTCACCACAGCCCTCAAAAAGAAAAGTTTCTCCACAGAACAGGCAAGTAATAGCTCTGTTCCAAGGAATGTGTTTTAATTTTTGCCCAGATAAAAGAAAATAAGCTTTGCACACACTCTCAATTCTTTACTTGCAGGCAAACTTCACTCTTTATTATCTGAAACTCTTCCATTCTCAGCCTCTTAGAGGCACAGATGGCTCAAGTTTCAGTGGCAAAAAGTCTTTTTTCCATAACCAAACTAGAGCAAATTTGGAATTCAGTCTGGGACTAAAACGTCACAGCAGAAAAAAAATAAAAAAAAATAATTTGCTTTTTTCTTTCTTTCATTTAGCAGCATAAATAAGTTTGGCCACTGGGAGTACAGTACAGGGTTGGGACAACAATCCCATATTTGAAGACCTACTTCTAGCACCAGCATCAAGAATTAAATCCATCTCAGGACTCACAGAACCCAGGACAACTTGCCACCTTTGAGCAACATATGCATTGAAGAATGTATATGGAAGCAACAGTAAATAGATTAACAGAGGCTAATACTGTGATTGATTGACATTGGCAATGGTTGGCAAAAAAAAAAAAAAAAAAGCTTTTCATGATAACTGTACAAAAACAATTCACAGTAATTTTTTTAAGCTTTTCCACTCCAGAAAAATGACTTTTTGTTGCAGATGCTCTCTAATTAGAAAGTCAACCAGTACTTGTTTTGATATTATTGCAGTTCCTTTCTAGGTGTCTAGCTGTCAGTGGTAAAAGAACAGGCTAGCAGAATCTGTAATGATGTTTCAGCATTAACACTGCCCAATGACCACTGGAGAAGAAAATAAAGAAATAATTGCACCTGGTTTGATTTAGAAAGTCTCATTTTGCAAAGCTGCCCTCAGTCAAAAGTGAAGCCTTTTATGTGATGAGACAGCAGACGCCTCTCTTGTCAGTTATGGTTTGTCATCTCTTCTTCTTTTCCTTCTTAGTCTGTAGGTCTTTTCAATCTGTTGCCCCAAGCCAACATCCTGCACCACTGAGAACAAGGGATTTTTTTCTTTTTCTTTTCTTTTTTTCTTTTTGCAGGGGGAAGGGCAGGGAGTATATCGTCTACACAATTGGACAAATTCATCTTTTCTGCTCTTCACTTCATGTCCACATCAAAGTCCAGCACCAGCAGCTTGGTTTCTTCAGTCCCATTCCGACTCCCAACTGCACACACCAGCTTTGTGTTTGAGGCTCTGATCCGCCACACAACTCCCCCACTCCCCCCACTCTCCAATGTGACTAGGTTTCGAATAAATTCACCCGTTTTCAAGTCCCATAGTTTTACAGTTCCATCATCTGAGCTGGTAATTACAAAGTTCTTGTTGAACTGTAAACAGGTCACAGCACTCTGATGCTTGTTGGGACCTAGACAAAAACCAAAAGAATTTAATTACTGGTTAGAAATAATGGCTATGAGTTAGTTACATTATAATTTGTAGACTTCTACTTTAGAACATACAATAAATGCAACATTTGAAATGATACATATTTAGAAACCCATGTCCTCAGTATTTTAGGATCAGCATGGATGTAAGAAAATCTGGTAGTGATTTGTAACTGAAACATTAACTTTCAAGAGGTCTGTCTTCCAAGAAGCTTGGTTAGCTACCAGACAAACATCTTATTTTCTGGCTGTGTGAACGACAGCATTCCTTGGTGAGGATGTAGATAGTGCAACTTCATACCTTCTGCTGATGGACAAATGAGCACTAAGAGATCTATTACCCCACCACCATGAACCACTCAAAGCTGAACAGTCACTATTCCAAAACTCTGAGGAGAGACAAAACCAATGAGTAAAAAGCTGCAATGTTGCCTATCAGATGGCCCCACTGAAAAAAACACTTTCTAAGGGCTATAACAAATAGAAAAAGTTAATCATGAGGCACTGCTGTACCTCATCTAATATTAGTGATTTTCACTTGTTTCTTTCTCTACTTTAGTAGGCACTATTATTCCTCTCCATTCCAGTTAAGCACGTGACTAAGTGGAGGCCAAATAAATTTTCTATCAAGGATGCTGTTGTTTTTTTCAATAAGGTAGCCCTTTAAAATTGGACTACAAATTCAAAATGCAATGGTCAATCAAAAAATATAATGAGTACGTTGCTTCTATGATATAGCCAAGATCTTTCTTCTCACTGTTCTTAAAGGTTAAGTAGAGTCAATTGAACATGCAGGAAGTGATTAAACAATTTTATATTACATATTAAAAACACAGTTTAAAACATTTCCTCAAGAGTAGACTAGTTCTGTAAGTCAGGGTGAAAATATTCATAAACTTTTCTGAAGTAACCATTCTGTATGAGGTTGACTCTTTTTGTGATGCTAAGGCTCCATATTTCTCTTGAATAATGATCTCATTTTTAATGAACAAAACGAAAGGTGAGTAAGACTTACCTTGCAATGTTTGTAAACACTGTCCTGTTTTGATATCCCAGATTTTAACTGTAGAATCTGCATTCCCAGAGACAAGAATATTGTCTTTGAGTTCCATTCCACTTGTTAACGACTGGTGCCCTGTTAACGTGTGAATGCAATTCCCTGTCTCCACATCCCAAACACGGATTGATGTATCAAGAGATCCACTCACCACATGGATACCATCAAACTACAAAAGACACAGTTTATTAGAATAGAAGTATGGATACTCTTCCTATCAATTACTGACCTTAATCCTAGTAGGAAAGGGGGAAGAGGATGGGAAACAGGTAATGCCAGGAACAAAATGAGGTACTAAGATAAAGTGGCAATGAGGATAAAGTGCATGCCATCAAGCAACTCTACAATGTATGTTCTCACACACTTCTATCAGAAAGGCTCATCTTTATGCCAAGCAGCTTCAAACTAGATGCAGAAACAACTTAAAATGAAAACAAAGCACCTAAAATGAACAATATGTTAATTTTCAAATCATCTGGCCCCACCTAGCTATATATCATGGATGACTGAGAGAATTGCTATGAGTTTTACTTCCCACTAGGAAGCTGAGACTAATGACATAGCTTATGATAAACGGAATGCTTATCAGCACCTAAGGCATGAAAAGGGCTAGAGATAACTTTCGTGATGTTCAAAAGTAAGTTCCATTAAAAACTGTGTGTAAAATAAAATTTCATTTATAAGAACCTAATGCTAATTAGGAAATGTGCCAAAAGATAATTGTATCTGGAATCAGAAGAGGTGGCATTTTGAAATCAAAAGCAAACTACATACTACCTCTTCTCCAGCTTCCCAGCTACACCAAAAGTCAATAACAGTCTATCATTTCTAAACAATAATGTGGCTACCTCTTTTCTCAATCAAACAGTTTATTTAAATTAGAATATTATATTCATTAAGCTTCTGAACATATCAGAAACAGGTGCAGCCAATTCCCCTTCCTCCAAATTCATCACCTTTTCTAATTTAGCAAACATTTTTATCATATTGTCAATATTTCATGACATGGACAATATCCCTTTGACAAAGAAACAAATATCCTAAGAACAGAATTGACAGTACTAAGATTATGTACTAATTTGCTGAACATTAATGGGTAATAACTGGTAAATAAACTATATAAGCTATAGGAAATATTTTTACATTAAAAATGTTGCCTTTCTGGAAATAAAACAAGATTCATATTCTAAACTTCCTATTCATCTAGTTAATGATCTCAAAATATGGCAATGTTTTCAAGGATATGGGCTTGAAATATAAACCAAAAAAAAGAAATCGGTTTAGTCAACTTTACTTCTTTATGACTACAAATCAGTGGGCCTGGGACAGTAGAGTGCTTTATGCAGAAAGGATCTATTTCCACTTTGAATGGGGATGGAATCACAATTACATGGTCCATCAACTTTCAGCTATCAAAGCAAAGGGGCAGCTTTTGGCCATATTAATCTTCTGCAAAGGAGTTTCTTAAAATCCAGGTTACTCTCCTATGAGACTATTTAACCATTAATTAACATAGCAAAACTTAGAGCCCCAAAGTGTCAGGTTGCAAAACAAATATTTGTATTTAGAGGAGAAATAGATCACAGAAAATTGAAAGCATTTAAATAATTTTGAAATTTACACTTTCTTCATGCCAATTTTAACGTATATAAAAACAGCAGAATAATCTGATTAATCTTTTTTGGACTGTACTGGATCAGCAATTTGACAGTGATTATCTGAGTAAAACAACCTTATGATTCATCAGGAGAGCATTTAAGGGAGAGATAAGAGATCTTACCTGTAATGAATAGACTCTATTAGTATGCCCCTGCAACGTGTGTAGACAGGTTTCAGTCTCTGGATCCCACACCTTTACCATAAAATCATATGCTCCACTAACAACCCTCCTGCCATCATATTGAACACAGCGGACTGCTGCAACATGACCCATCAAAACATGTAAACACTGGCCTGTCTCAATATCCCAAACCCTAAGAGTGGCATCTCGAGAACCGCTAACAACTCTGCAGAGGGAGAAACAGAAAAACAAAACAAAACAAAAAAACCCACGTTTAGAATTTTTAATAATATGAGAAAACATGGTAGATTTAGTCAAGGTTTTTTAGCTTTTTTTTTTTTTTTTTTACACAGCAACAACCATTTTCAAAAGAAATCCTATGTAAAACCTTGGTATATAAACATAATAAGGGAATGGGAAGTTGGGAAGCCTAGAATGCTGCATGCTTGGTTCCCTGACCTGGGGACCTTAGGTTCAGCACCTTAAGGTTCTGTGGGACTGAGTTTGAAAACCACTGTACTGTATTTTTTAAAAAGCAGCAGAAGCTGCCTCTAAATATATACAATAAGATTTTGATTTTAGAAATAAAATGTTAATGTGGGCATATGTATAAAATGTTAATGGGAGAACTCTAGGTGGTAGTGGTTTAAAGAATTTAAATTTTCTTTATGTTCTTTGCCATTTTCCAAAATTTCAATTATGAATGCATATATTCCCTTGTGATTAGGTAAAAAATTCAATAAAGTTTATACAACAAAACAAGTCAGAATTTGGAATTTAAACAGCTGCAGATTTGTGTTTACACTATACATTCCAGTAAAAATTAACCAGTTTTAGACATGTCCTCAAACACAGGCTGCTTATGCTTTTAATGATTAGATTTATAAATATGCAATAGGCTATAAAAATATTAAGAGATAAAGATTTTAAAAGATATGTACATCTTTAAAAACAATGGCTATCCCTTAAACATTTGGTTCAACATCAGCGCTATACTCTTCTGAAAACCAGAGCAATATACAAATACTGTAATCACTTTTGGATTACAAAACAAAGCTGAAAACTCAGGTATCCTTATGTCATTCTGAAGAGATAAAGAAATACCACAGTTTCCATATTTTAAAAAAGTAGATAATTAAAGGGTTGAGAGAACCCTTTAATTGAGAACCTAATGTTGAGAGAACATAATGGAAACTGGAATACAAGGTCTCTTGATACTCATCCCCCAAATTTTAACAGTATAGCACACTGTTCAAAGTAGAGGTAAATGACAATTGAAAAGGTACTCCTTTTCACATATTACAAATCTGGTGTGAAATCTGCTTAATGTAATTGTTCTTAATAAAGAAGATGCGATAGACAGAATTAAAGGTAAAGACTGCCATGGATTCACTGTAAGGACCTTTCAGAGAGACCTTTTTTGACAAATGAGGTAGAAATCACACTTGTTTAACAGGGGTATGATGACGATAATAGAAAGATAGGATTTTAATAGGAGGGCTTTACAGGAGGAGATAAAAGCAACAGCAAAGGCACTGAGAAGAGAAAGTCAAAAAGTCCAGTTTGGCAGAAACCATTTTGAAAACTGGATCGAGGATTTCTTCCTTAATTCGTTAGTCAACAGTAGGCTCAAAAAGACTTAAGAACTGGGCAGTGACACTATCATAATTATAAAAGGACTATATGTCAGCTGTATAAAACATAAGATAACCAAGTTAGAAAGCTGTGACAATAGTTCAGAATGAGAGAACAAATTACCCACAGGCCTCAGCTTTTGCCTAGACTTAGAGATAGGGTGGGTGTAAGGTGGGTAGGTAATTTAAAAAGGCTCAGACGCTTGAAGCCTGAATTTGTCCCACTTGCGGAAATAAGAATATCAAAAAAAGAGAGAGAAAACATGATTTCTGCTTGAATATGATGAGTCATCAAAGATACAGAACAACAAAAAGGATTAGAGATTAGAGAGTAGAGAGTTTCAAACAGGAAGCTGACAACACTAGCAAATGAGAAAGGAAATTTACAGACAATCACCAATTTTAAGACAAAACGCTATGGCTTTCCTAGAATAGAAACATCTGAAGTGTAATAATTAAATCTAATTTAAGAGCACACTGTCACTATTTCAGTAACTCTACACAGAAAGGGCCCAAATTCACCAATAATAGAGGAAGAAGTCCCAACCATGACAAGATTTTCCCTTACCTTTTTTCATGAAGATGCATACAACGCACAGTGGAAGTATGCCCATATAAGGTGTGTATACATTCTCCAGTCTCTGCATTCCACACTTTGAGTGTCCGATCTGTAGATCCACTAATGATGATGTTGTCTCTCATTTGTGATGACCATACTCCACCTGTATGTCCCACTAATGTTCTCAGACACTGGAAAAACACTTAAGATGATTACTTTTGGGTAGAAAGGAAAAGTGATTTAAATAAAATTTAATAGCTCATTAAAATTTGGAGTAAAGTTACTTATTTAATTTGTTTGGCTCTTCAGAAAATATTACATCCGTATAAAATGATCCCATCACTATTTATTGTTTTGTTTATTCAAAAGCATTATAAATTTATATAAGCACAAGCAATTGTGTATGTAGTATGTAGAAAGCAAACATATGATATAAAACATGATATAATAAAAAGGAAACACGACATGAAAGCAGTTATGATAGCTCTGGCCTGGCCTCTTTGATGAAATAATACTGAAATTGCAACTGGGTTTCTTCCATGGGAATAGATTCAATGAAAGTATGCCAACAGTATTGGGTGTGGCTACATACCACATTTCATCTGAATCTGCCCCAGGGCAGTAGTTAGGAGCCAGTGAAGCTACTTCTAGACAAGTAAAGACAGACATTAAAGCCCTGTAATAAATCCCAAACTAATATTACACTATGGAAATATAAAGCTGCTTTAAAAAATTTTAACATCTGACTTGGAATATTTATAAGATACTTGCCAAGAAGCAACATGGTAAAAGACATTTTAAAAGACATGGATTTTTTTTTGTTTTCATACTCTCTTCTGTTATTTTTTAGGTGGCAATTACTTAATTCATGAAAATATTCTCTACTGGACAGATAAAAATAAATATTCACTAGAGAATCATTAAGGTATGATATGGTACACAGTCAAGCTGATTGCTTGGGCTTTTTCTTCAAACTTAACATTTAAATGCCTTGTCCACTCTCATCTCACAAGGGTTTGAGATAAGTATAAATTAACATGATTTATTAAGTTCTAAACTACAGGTAGGTTATCAACAAAGCAGTTTATAAGGAAAAATAAATATCCCTCAACCATACTTTTGAAAAACATTACAAAGTAATGAGGTATAACTTAGATAGTAAATAAAAGTGGGGAAAAATTGAGCCAAGAAAAACATAAAGCACCCTTGAAAATGTTAAAGTATCTGTCACAAAGATAGACAAACTATGTAAATGAAAAAAAATTAATGAAACCTCTATCATGAGAAGCATCACTATCCTCATGCCATTGGCTTTCATAAATATGGGGAAAAAAGCTAAGTTATGAGCTCTGATATTTGCTATCCAAATAACTAAGAATCAAAAATGAATTATTGTTTTCTTTTTTCCAGTTGCTACTTGCAATGATATACACAAAATTATGACTTTGTGAAGTGTAGGAAGAGTAAACTTACTTTGCCTGTGACTGCTGACCAAACTTTTAAAGTGTTGTCATCAGAACCACTAACTATTCGGTTACCACAAAACTGTAAGCATGTGATCACATGATCATCATGTCCTTTCAGCACCTATAAGAAAGATGTGCAGATTAGAAATATGTTAATTAAATTATGTTCTTTAAAATACTGGTGAAGAGAAAAATGAAGGCATAAACAGGAACAGTAATTTGTAGTCTATCTCTAGAATTTAAATTTATATAAAGCATTATTTTTCCTGGCTGACGAATCCAGAATTAAACATTTTATTGTTTCCATAGTCTATTATTTATACTCAAAACATCAACTATTAAAGTTTTACTGCATCAAGACCTCATAAAGATGGTTCAAACACCAATGTATTTGACAATAATCTATTCCATCTGTTCAAACCAGAAGAATATGCCTCTAATTTTTACAACTTTGACACACAAGAACAAAATAAGCATCTATTAACCACAAAGAGTAACAATTATTAGCATTCTTAAAACAAAAAAAATCATAATATATACATATTAGTATAACAATGTCTCCCCAAATTGGTTTTTTCCAGTTGTAAAAATACGCCCAATAATTTCAAGTGTTTTTACCATTCTTTATGTATTTGAAATGTTATTAGACAGAAAACCAGAATTATGCTTCAATTTGTAAAAATAAGACACACAAAAGTCACCAAATCCAAAACACAGACACTCCTCAAAAAATCATGTTTGGAGTATGTGATCAGAGGAGGCAGCAAATTCTTAGGTAGAATGTGTATGACACAGTAAAATTCAATAGGATATTGAGAGATTTTCATTTACGTAAGATAAAAAGATACTCAATTTAACTTATCTTTTATTCAAGCACAATTAGTTGTCAGATTAGAGAAATTAGCAATAAAAGAATATTGTCAGTTAATACTTTCAGTTATTTTAAAATATACGGTTTTCTTTCTACAGAAGAGGAGTGTCATATTATACAGTTTGCCAAGTGAAATAGTACACTAGGTACTAACACTGATTAACGGTTTCTGTTACATTGTGCAGAGTTCAGTTACCTTAGGAGATTTGAGTTCTCCTCGCCTCCAGTTAGTATCAATTCTGTGCTGTCTGATGTATGCACTTTTCCATGGACTGTGTATGAAACCTGGTTTTATTACTTTTCTTCTCTTGATGTGCAATGGTTCATCAATCCCTAAAGTGTTACAGTTCAAGAGTAAATTGCCTTCACCAATAATAACAGTTATACATTTTATAAAGTATTCCATCTTTATAAAGAGTATTCCATCTCTCTGCTCAAAACCACTGAAATGCAAGACATTGTCAAATTTCCAATACTGTTATCACAGTATGTAGCAATAATGTAAAGTTTACATTCTATATGGCATATTTTTGTATTCACTATTTCATTTCTCAAAATGATTCTAAAATATGTTGGTGAAGATGTGAGGAAATTGGAATGCTTGTGCAAATGGTGCAGCTGCTGTGGAAAATAGTCTGGTGGTTCCCCAAAACAAACACAGAATTAACATATGATCTAGCAATTCCACTTCTGGATACATAACCAAAACAATTAAAAGCAGAGTCTCAAACAGTCATCTGTACACCCATGCTCATAGCAGGATTATTCACAGTAACTAAAACGTGCAAGCAATCCAAGGGTCCATCGAAAGATGGATAAACAAAATGTAGCATTAGATACATATACACAATGGAATAAAGGAAATTCTGACACATGCTATGACATGGATGAACCTTGAAGACATTATGCTAAGTGAAATAAGCTGATTACAAAAGGAAAAATATTGTATGATTTCACTTATATGAGGTACCTAGAGTAGTCAAACTCATAGAGACAGAAAGTAAAAGGGTGGTTGCCAGAGGCTGTGGAGAGGAATAATGGGGAGTTAGAACAGGGGGCATGGAGTTTCATGTGAAGATGATGAAGTTCTGAACACAGATGGTAGTGAATCTGAACACAGATGGTAGTTGCAAAACAATGTGAATGTACTTAATGCCACTGAACTGTACATATAAAAATGGTTAAACTGATAAATTACATACATGTTATCACAATTTTTAAAAGATCATTTAAAAAATGATTATATGGAAGAAGGGAAGGCACAGATTAATTCCACTTTATGTATGCAAATACTTAAGAATGAAGATTTCACTGATTAATCCAAGCCCTACAGAGGTCAAAAGCAGGATGACAAACCAAGCACCCTGGATCTTTACCTCAAACCTTTATTAACTGGACTAACCATCAATGCTTCCTACTTGACTATAACTACCATGAAGGGAATAATCACCTATAGAGTACCTACATCATGCTCTATGATTCTTTCTAAAATATTTTGCTTCTGAGGCACATAGTATTTTTATATTTTTTCAAAAATATTTTTCTGGATGTCTGCTGGGAAAAAAAACAAAAACAAAAAAAACAGTTCTCCCAATACACAGGATAACTACTCCTCTACTAAGGAAAAAAACAGGTTTCAAGAACATAAGCTCCATGACAAAAGAGAACTTCAGTTCACTGCTGTATCCCCCACCTTGAAGAAATGTCTGGCTCATAGGAGGTGTTCAATAAACATTTATGAAAAGAATGAATTAATACTAAATATTTGGATATTTAATTGGAAATATAATTTCGGGGTTTCCTTTAAGTCATCCTCATCTTGACTTTTTCATTGTTTATTAATTCTACTAGTGATAGGAAGCAAATCAGATATATTTGCTATTAGTTATATTGCTTGTTAAAGGGGTTAGCTGTTAAGATTCGGCTCATCTGAATGTGTAGAATAATCTGTGGATTTTATCATAAGTAGCTGAATATTATTTTTATTTTTTCTACTTGTTTTCAGAATCACTCTGCTTTTCAAAGTATAAACATATTCTCTATGCAATTTTGAACCTTACCCTCTTCTTTGCATTTCTCTCTCCAGAGAAGGTTGTCTTCAGCCAAAATTCTCCAGTAGCGACATGTCTGAGCTGCTTGTAGCAGGTCTTTGGGTTCCAGGAATGAAAGCACATAGAGTGCCAACTAAGAAAAAAATGCATAGTATAATACCCATATTTAAATAAATATATATATTATATAATAAGTTAATTATTCTCCACAGGATGAGATACTTGATAAATATAATTCTGCACTCTGATTTCTAAAATTATGAAAGGCAGTAACTTCAGTCCTAACAAATATATACCAGATAAAAAACACACACACACCTTATGGTTTTTATGAACTTCACTCTACTAACTCTTTACCCTCTTCAAGGACTACTTATTAAACCTCTCTGTCTCTGCTCTTGCCTTTACTCTGTGAGCCTCAACTCAATTTTTTAAAAAAAATGTTATTAGTTGTTTAACTTTTTTCTCTATCCTACTACAATGTAAATTCACTGAAGATAGGACCTAAATGCTTCCCTGACAGATAAGAAATGAGATTTGTATATATTCTGTGTGGTATGACTCCAGATCATTTTTGATAGATATATATCATAATTAACAGTCTTCAAATCAAAGTGTTTATTATTGTAATGAACTTCTGAAACACTTACATCCTTGACTGTAAATGACAAAGGGGGACAATTATTAAACCATTCCATAGACATATAAAAGTAATTGAGTTCTGATTACCTTATATTACTTATAAGGATCTTCTTGATGGGCCACATAAGAGTTGTATATTTGAGCTAAATCTTTGGTATACCACTGATTTAAAAACTTTGTTTATAATACTTATAAACTATTGATTTTTTTTCAGTGTGTCAGTTCAAATAAATAAAAAGGAAAAATAAAGAGAAAAAAAAAGAAAGAAGGGGAATTATAGCCTCTGACTGATTATTCAAGTAGCCTCACATATCACATAAAATTTTAAATTATGATACTAGGGAAAACAATTTAAATAGAGCAATTAAGTTCAGTTTTCATATGAAATAAATGACAAGAACTAACATAAATTATCCGTTAAAGGGTCAAGGGTCACACAGGGAGTAAAAGCACAATTTTAATTATTTTTTGATGCTAAATGTAAAGTATATAATATAAATTATGCTTTCCCAATGACTTTGCATATATAAGGAATTCATCATGGGCTGGGTGTGGTGGCTCACTCCTGTAATACCAGCACTTTGGGAGGCCGAGGTGGGTGGATCACTTGAGGCCAGGAGTTCGACATCAGCTTGGTCAACATGGTGAAACCCCATCTCTACTAAAAATACAAAAATTAGCCAGGTGTGGTGGTGCATGCTTATAATCCCAGCTACTCAGGAGGCTGAGGCATAAGAAACACTTGAACCCAGCAGGTGGAGGTTGCAGTGAGCCAAGATCACGTCGTTGCACTCCAGCCCGGGCGACAGACCAAGATTCTGTCTCAACAACAACAACAACAACAACAACAACAACTCATCATTAATTACATATGTATTGAGTATATTCAATATACAAAATACTCCAACCAGCCAATATTCAGTTTAATACTACTACTGATGAATGATAGTGAAAAACTTTTTGTGAAATAATTACTTTTGGTATATCAGAGAAGACCAGTATTATGTAGAGAAGCTGAGTCATTTAAAATAAAAAGGTGTAACTATATTCAACAATACTCACACATATATAGTCTCAATATTGTACTTAACAGATACTCCAAAAGCTACTTAATTTGGGAATTACCAATCAATCAAAGCCTAGGCAAGTTCGCTTTGTGTCAGTATAGCAGTAATGTGGTGTTACCATTACTAATCTATGTGGAATTGTAATTTAACATAGAAGCTATCAGGCATAAAAATATTTGTGCAAAAGAGATGCTAATTAATGACCAAAATATTTATCTAAAAACAGAAAAAGTCTATTCTTTTCTTTGCTTTCGTTATCTAACTGAAGTACAAATCAGGTAATTTACAGAAATAGTCAATGTATCTTAAAGACTAGGAAACAGCAAATCCAGAGCAGCTTAGATTTCAAAAGTACATCCCCAAATCACCAGGTAAAATTTCCAGCATTAATAGTGATTATGAGATCATCTAGTCCAGTGCATTAAAGAGAAATATAAAGAAATACTAAGGCGCTAAAGAAAGTTGAAGTGCTAACTCTACAGGTTACTGGCACACTTTCCTTAAAAGTAGTGAAGATACTAACTCAACCAAGAACTTCGACTTATTAAATGTTTGCCTATTTACATCTAGCCAGTTCCATCAAAACATCTAAGCAATACAGAAAATACACAAAGCAAAACAAAAAAATATGAATTAAAAAATCAGAAAAGAAGGTTTAAACTAGAGAAAAAGTAGAGCACAAATACGCTGTCAACAAGGTTATGTCTTACAAGGTTTTGAATTAAACTGCCAAGCCAAAAAGAGAATAGCAATTAGTTGCATGATTCTTACTACGTATTATGAGGAGGAAGTATACCAGTTCCCTCAAAGGAAGCAAGGTTTTGTCATGTAGGGCTCTAAAATGAACTGAATGTCCATATTCCCTCAAATTCATGTTGAAATCCTAACCCTCAATGTGATGGTATTAGGAAGTGAGGTGTTTGGAAAATAATTAGGTCATGAGGTTGGAGTCCTCATGAATGGAATTAGTACTCTCATAAAAGGGACATCCCCCCCTACCACCACCCCCACCCCGCAAAAAAATTACCCAAGTGTGGTGGCACATGCCTGTAGTCCTAGCTACTCAAGAGGCTAACATAGGAGAATCATTTGAGCCTAGGAGTTTGAGGCTGCAGTGAGCTATGATCATTCCACTGCATCCCAGCCTGGGCAACAGAGTGAGACTCTTGTCTGTCCAACCGCTATGGTAGGGAGTTATGGGTTTCTTACAGCCAAGTCAAATGGTCCAGTTAATGCAGTTTTCTATTCATTTGTTTTAAAGGTAAAACCCAGATTAGTATTTCTTCCTAAAGATCACTTCTGCCAGAGAAAAGCTCTTGAATTGAAACGTATTTCAGATAATTACCTTTTCCTTGTCCAACTCTGTAAGAATTGCTTTTATTTTTCTCTATAACCTATATAAAAGACAACCACATTGTACTTAAAAGGTAGCCAATATTTTCCCAGACTTGCTGTATTTCAGTGGATTAAACTAGTCAAGGAAAAAAAATTATTTTTAAATGTTGGCTAATCCTCTATTAAGAATTTCAGGTTTTGCTCTAGATCATCTATTGTATGATTATGATTTTCTTGGTATTCACTTATAAAGACAATGCTATTCATCACAAGCCTCTAGTGTGAAATTAGTGAGACTTCTGTCAAGCTTTTTGAGATTAATAAAGTAAATGTTTGTAAATAGTTTTGAGATATGGCCAAAGGAATTATAAGAAAAATAAGTCCATTTCCTGACAAGAAGGTAATAATGTTTTAAATAATAATACTTTGTTTCTGAGAAGATAATGTTTTCTATATCATTATTTATCCACTTAGACAATAAAGCATTTTTCAAAATAGGAATTTTTTTTTCTGGTAGTTGAAAACAAGAGGGAAACACAGATGATATGCTAAACCAAGGCTCTCCCTTAGTCTCCTATATAACTAATTTCACTTATTTTTCCCCAGGCAGTCTTTAAAAGAACACTTAAACTGAGAGAATCTTTACTGGATTTACCCTGGTTATTGATTATTTGTTTTTAATTCTTAGATTTTTCAAAATACTTTCATATTCTGATCTTACACAACATTTTGTCTGTTAAGAAGTTATGGAAATTCAAATAAAGCAAAACAAACCAAAAACCTCACCATTATTAGAAATAAGAGAAAAAATGAGACTATGAGAAAGCCTGCATTTTAACAAAAATGATAACCTCTAAAATACGGAGGATATCACTAAGTAAACTACAGAGAATATATCAAAGGTGAATAAAATCACTTTCAGTCAAATACTTATGTAAGTGTTTCCCATTATTAATGCCCTTCTGGAAGCAAAGAGAGCTGACGTCACTTTCATAAGCCAAATCTATTCAAAGGATTCAGTTTTAGAATGAGCCAGCAAAAATAAAAATTTTCTTCTGGGCCAAAGTCATTTTTAAAAAGCACTCAGTAGAAAACACATTTTAGGAAGAAAAGATTTTCTCCACTTTGCTTTTCTCTGGAGTTATGCTTAGTTCCATGCATTAAATATGATACAACTATTTTATTCGTATCCAACGTGCAATTCTAATTGGGACTATCTTTAACACCATTAGGATATTTAGAATGATAATCTTAAAAAAATGACTTTTTTCTGTTCAAATTTGAAGTTTCAGGATCATTTGAAATGGTATGTTAGTATTTTATATTGTCTTCTTAGCTGACATATAACTAGGGGCATATACATATTACTTATGAAAATATAAATCATGGTGATGCTGATTATTTAATGTTATATTATTTCTGTTCACTGACAAAATTACTAGGTCTATAATATCAATAAAGGAACTATATCTAAACTATGCCTTATAGTTATGAATGCCCATATAATCAGTCTATGATAGTTTCAGCTTACATAAAAATATAAAAAGAAATAGGCACAAATAATTCCCAAAGAAGTGCTGTTAGCATGTAATTAGTATGGGAAATCTGTATTTGTGTAATGGAGATGGGGAGGAGAATGATTAGAAAAATATACACATGTGAAATTATAATATTTGTATTTAAAATAATTACACAATGTTAAGTACCAGAGAACTAGAATTCAATAGAATCATAAACCTATTGGTCTTGAAGGGACTTAAGATATATAATAAAATAAGAGAAAAAATATTGCTATTTTAATATGGTCAGAATTTTAAAAAATCTACTATCATGAATATACCAAGATAACTAAAGGTTGGGCTTCAAATAACTTGACAAAAAAATCTTGGTAAATAAATAATCAAATTAGTGAAACTCAATAGTTACTCTCACATATATGACTTATTCAAATAGTGGAAAGGAGTTACTTAGTTCACATGCATTCTTTAATCTGACAATTACATTATTAAGTCATGGCAATTTATCAATTTACAGCCCTCTTTACCACTAATTAAGAGTGTCAAACTGACAATACCGAATACCATAATTAGCATGACAATGTTTAAAGGTGGTAGCTGTTGAGTTATATATTCAAATAACACCCAATGAAGAATGTAATTGATAATCTTTACCTCTTTAGGGAGCAATGAAATGAAGTCTCGTTGAAACTGGGGTTCTATCACTTGCATCATATGTTTTACTTGTGTTGGTTCACAACTATCAATGAGTTCATCTAAAGCAAGCAATTTCTCTGGTCCACTCCAGCTCTATCAAAGAGAATTAGAAATTTTTATTGTTTTAACAGATGTCCCAAATTACAGGCTTATAAAGGAAAACTCACATCTACACACAACCATAGTTGATCAGGGTAGAACTGTATAAAAAGTGGCTCCTTATAGTGACATTTTTTCCACAAGGCATTGAAGAAGGCATTTAATTTCATCACTTACCAACAACTTTTATTTCGTAAAAGGTTAAAAAAAAACATGTTTGACAGAAAAATATTTTTTCATTACATTATTATAATAGTTATATGTTCATCTACCACCAAGTCACTAACTGAGAAGCCAAAATTTTATTCCAGAAACATCATTTTGGGTTACTGAGTAAATAATAGAAAATTTTGACAATTTCTCTACATTCTTTCTAGTAAGCACCATAAAATTAGATGGTTTTAATAAGGCACTCATCTGAAAGGAGACGAGCAGCATCAATCAGAGAAAAATTAGTAACTGGATATATTACACATTTGACAACTGTCTTCCACAAATTAAACAGGCTTTGATTTGTTATGTGAAAACAAATACACAATAGAAAATAGAATAAACAATAAAAACAATCAACAATAGAAAATAGTAGCTGATAGTGGTAAAATGAGAATATAAACAAAGGCCAAAAGAGGATAAGAAAGAGATACACTATAAAAACACAAAAACACACAATCATGCTTCAGAAATAAGAGTTCCTTTAAATGACATCAGGGGATTATCTTAAAACATTATCCCAGTGAAGAACACCTGCACAGAAAAGCCATGGTTCTTAAAAGGAAAAACTAAAATGCCATGTGAATAATTCAAAATGTTACAATTTCACACATTTAATTAACCTCATAATACTTAAATGAAAGAACATTCTTAAGCAGGCCTTTGTTTCTGCAAATCTATACTGATTTAAGTACCATTTTAAGAATTATTGTGTCCACTTTAGAAGTGGGTGAATAGAGAATAGGTGAGGTTTTCAGCTAAAAAGATCTGGATTTTGCCATTCCATTTCTTGTCCAAACAAGAAAACTTGATCCAAGACATGAAATATATAATAATTGACAACAGATATATTAAGGATATGAGGAGCTGTATTTGGAATACTTTTTAAAGTATTTACCCATGTGGAATCTACAATGAACTTCTTCTCTTCTTTCTTATCATAAAATATGTATTAAATTGGCAATACCATAAAACATTTCAATGGTATTTATTTCCATAGTATATTCCATTTTACCACCTAATGTTAAAGATATACAGGTTCCAACCAGTTGTGTCCCTTCCTTTTGCTTCTACAAATACATGTATCCAGAACATTCACCTTGAGTCTTACATTGTATCTTTTTTGGTCAGGGGATTTATTATACAAAGAAATGTAAAATACTCATAAACATGTATATGTACACACGTGACCAATTAAAAGCAGTTAATTTGAAGTTTAATTACCTTGTTTGGTTTGGTTTCTCTCACATAACTTCAAACACTGGTTTAAAACTTACCTCTTTGACATAACTGATAGTGATCAATCTCCACTCATCTCTCTCCATTTGGTATCAATAGAACAAACTCATTAATTTATTGATTCACATCCCTCACAGGATTTGAGGTGGGTTTTGATAATATGCTATACCTCTCCATCTACATCATAGACAATGCATGGACACTAATACAAGGACATGCTCATTTGGAGTGATGGATAACTATGCTGACTTGATTAAAATGTAGCTTAGGCCAGGTGTGTTGGCTCATGCCTGTAATCTCAGTAGTTTTGGGAGGCAGAGGCAAGAGGATCACTGGAGCTCAGGAATTTGAGATCAGCCTGGCAACATAACGAGACCCCATCTCTACAAAAAAATTAGAAATCAGCCAGGCATGGTGGAATGCGCCTGTAGTCCCAGCTACTCAGGGGGCTGTGGCAGGAGGTCAAGTCTGCAACGAGCTATGATCATGCCACTGCACTCCAGCCTAGGTGACAGAGCGAGGCTTTGTCTCAAAAAAAAAAAAAAAAAAAAAGCTAATATATGAGACATATCTTTTATCAAGGCTTTTGGAGGATAGGGTGTAGAAATTAAAGAAGACAGAACAGATGAACAGATGATAAACAACTAATTCAGACCTAAGCTAAATATTTGAAACTGTGTTAGAAATTTCCATATATTTAAGAAAAAGTACATGGAAAAAAATTATGCCTGTATAACAAAACATATCTAAGACTTTAAACAATATTTGAAACAATGTATTTTTATTTTGTTTTAAAGAATCTTTAATAAGAACCAGAGACAATTTAAAACGTCTCAATTTAAATTATCTATATACTCAGCAGATGTTACTTCGTGTTATCTTATTAAAAAGTATACCACTGATAGGCCCGGTGCAGTGGCTCATGCCTGTAATCCCACCACTCTGGGAGGCCAAGGCAGGCAGATCATGAGGTCAGGAGATCGAGACCATCCTGGCTAACATGGTGAAACCCCATCTCTACTAAAAATATAAAAACAATTAGCTGGGCATCGTGGCGGGCGCCTGTAGTCCCGGCGACTTGGGAGGCTGATGTAGGAGAATGGCGTGAACCCGGGAGGAGCTTGCAGTGAGCCGAGATTGTACCACTGCACTCCAGCTTGGGCGACAGAGCGAAACTCCATCTCAAAAAAAAAAAAAAAAAAAAAAAAGGATACCACTGATAAAGACGAGTAGCAATAGAAAATGAGACTGTTTCCACTGACTACACATATTCAACTGTCCTATCGTTTAAAATCACATCTCTTTGGTGATTCTAAACAAAGATCTGGACCATAAAAACAGCTTTCCTCTCTCCAGCCTGGAGTCCTTCCTGAACTCCAGACCTGTATTATGTTGTTGCTTTTTCAACATCTATTTTTGGATATGTAATTGAAACTTAACATGTCTATGATCTTTCTCTCCAAATCTGTATTTCCACAGTCTTCCTCATTTCAGTAAAATAAACTCTATTTTACTAGTTACTCAGGCCAAGAAGTCTTTGGTCATTCCTGACCCCTCCCTCTCTTTCACCATCAGATGCTTTTGATCCAAATGAACTCACAGCCTTAAACTTTAAAATATATCCACAATCTGACTATTACTACACTGGATTGAGCTACCAGTATGCGTCACCTAGATTATTCCTGTAACTCCCTAAGTGGTCTTCCAGCTTTCTACCTTCGGCTCTTCGTTCTATTCTCCACACTGTACTCAGTGCTACTGTCAGAAAGTCTTAAACCTTCTTAAAACCTTCTAATGGCTTTCCATTTCACCCAAAGTAGAAATCAGTCCTTAGGTTGGCCTACAACACACTACTTTCCCATTACTTTCCCTTTTATTTACTCTGCTCTGCCATACACACTCTTTCTGTGCTGTAAACACTCCAGGCACACTCAGCTTCACAGCATCTTTCCTTGCTGTTCCTTGGAATATTGTTTCCCTAGATACCCACATGCCTTGCTTCCTTACTTCCTTCCCTGAGCAACCTCTCTAAAATTGCAACCAGTTCCAAACTCATCCACCTCATCCCCTTCTGACTAGAATGTAGGTTTCAGGAAAAAGTGTTTTTTGTCTGTTTTATTCACTATTGCATACCACACCCAAGTAGGGCCTAGCACAGAAAAGGTGCTTAATAAATGTTTACTGAATAAATAAATGAATCCCAAAAGAATCAGGAAATACTCTCTCTAGATTAATGCTATCATCTCAACTCTATCTCTAGAGAGTGTTTCTATTCTTTATATTTGATGGTATCACTAGGACTTGCTTGCTTATTCTGGCTCCAAGAGTGGTTTCAAATTTTGTATATATACAATTTAGCAGCAAGGGACATATACATTAACATGAAAACCTTGCAGCTAATGACTATCTACGTGTGTATGTGTGTGTGTGCGCGCGCATGCATGTGTACATGAAATAACAACCTACAACAACAATTAACGAAGAATAGTTGAGAGATAACTGAATTGGGGATCAGGAAATAATTTTAGGAGATACTGTCGTTGTAATTAGGTTACAATTTAACCTCTTCAGGCCTTAGTTTATCTGCAAAAGCAGAGTGTTGGATAATTCTTTTAATTATTATTTTACTGCTACTTGAAAAGTGGTTGTCTCAGAAAAGAGAAAAAAAAAAAGTACTTCCTTTGGCCTTTCATGGTAGCCATGTTGGAACACATTGAAAGGGAGAGGAAAAACATTCCAGGTTCAGAAGCAAATTTTAATTTAAGGACAAAATTGCAAATGCAAATTTGAAAATTCCCCATGGAAGTGGTGTTTTATTTCAGGTAAATTAGGGCACAGAGGTAGTAGAGAAGAGTAGAAGGAGCACTAAACTGCAATCAAGAGCCTGGGCTTCACCAGGAAACTCACTGTAGAACAACATGGAAGTCTCTTAATGAGTCTGAGTCTCAGAGAACCCACCTACACAGTGAGAGGCTTGGTCCAGGCCAGTGGTTCCCAAATGCCGATCAAGGACAGCAAGAATTACTGAGTTCTAAAACCCGCCAGCAGATAGTCTGATTCAGTGGCTGAAGACATTTTATTTTTTAAACAAGCAACTCATCCAGTGTTGATGTAGATGACTCACAAAGCAGCATTTGGGAACCACTGGTCTGGATGATCTTTAGTGTCTCAATTAGATAGACTGTTTTATGACCTTGGGTAGTACTGCACCTGAATTTCATGTGGTAAAGAACTCACTTCTCTAGCACCTCTAGCACATGGTTATCCAGTCTGTTTGAACAGTTCCAGGATTCGAGTAACTTATTATCTCCCATTCTACTGTGGACCAGTTCTAATTGCTAAGTTTAACTTAATGCCAAAATCTGACTCAAAGAACATAATTCAGGTTTTACTTTCTGAAGAAACCAAGAATGAATCTTTTCCTACTTTTATACAAAAGTCGTTAAAATGTTAAAAACAGACATCACATTTTCTCCTGGTCTTCTCTAGCTAAATACATGACTTTCTTCAAGTCTTTCACACAAAACAAGGTTTTTAAATCACTGTGTCCCAAATACAATTTCAAAGTAATAATAAATTCAATTTTGGCACTATCCTGTAGGTTTTAATCTTTTGTTGATTAGCAAATAAGATGTAAATAAAGTAGATTTGAGAACATGTACAATTTCTAAGTGTTCCCATGAAACCTAATTAAATCTTCCAATGGAGAAGTTTTTTCTCCATTTTTAATATCAAAACACATGTATTTTATACTTATCATTTAAAAATATTTTTAGTATAACATCTTTTCAAAGTACATAAATAGCTTAATTCCAATATGCTTTAATTAAAATAATGTAAAGCTAATGGCATCTGTGTAAGGTTAAAGTTCTTCCATATCACTTTATCTTTGATCCTCATAGCAATACTGTGAAGCTAGTGTTAACGGTCCCTTTTTAGATCTGAGAAAATTTCTGAGGTCCACTAAGATTATTTCTTGACCAAGGGAAGAAACTAACATTTATTGAGTCTCCAATATATTTCCAAGTATAACTTTAAGCAGATGTACATGTTTTTTCCCCTTTGACAACTTTTTAATGTTATGTGTTTTATAGAGCGTGAAAATAAAGGCAAGAATGGTTATATATTAATGAAATTATTGTTTTTAAGAGACAATGTCAAAATTTGAACTAAGAACTTGTCCTTCTATGTCATTTGTGCTATTCTCAAGATGCTTCTGAATACAAATTTCAATATAAGATAATGTTCATGTAATTAATGTCTTTACCCAGTCTGAAAAGTTTAAGTGAAAAACCATTTATTAGCACCTGAATGATATAAACAAGCCAAAAAAATGACCAACTCGCTTCCCTAAATTAACTGAAGCATCAATCTGACTGCCATACAAAGTGGATCAATGGCTACTGAAAATTCAAATGGTATAAACTTTCTATTTTTTTTTTTGGTTTTTGTCTTTAATTTGCACTTCTATTTTCTAGTGGCATTCTGTTTCAGTCCTCTTTTATGCAAAATGGAATATCATTTGTTCATACTCAATTTATAAACAGAATACAGAGTACTTTGTCAGAATAGATGGAACTGGACCAAAGCAATGCTGTATCACTGCCTTAGGAGCAATAGCAGAACAGTAAGGGGACAAGCTCTCCCATACTGCTTATTATGCAACAGAAAAGTCATCATGAAATGCCCCCACAGTATATTTGTAGAAAACATGCCAGTTTAATTATCCCTCAACTCTCTCACATAGGTCAACTCATGACTCCCCACTTTATTATGAAATTATATCTCTACAAGTTAGACATTAAAGCACAGTAAGCCTTTAGGCAAGTGAATCATTTCTAGTTACTCTGGGACCAGCCCTGAAAATAAAGGGCAGTGTACAACAATGAGGCCTTGGGTGTGTCAGAGACAGACATGGTACTCAAAAGATGAAGGTCCTGATCTACCTGTCCAGTTGACCTTTTGTTGCTACAGATTTCTTTGCTACAGAATATTTATCTGAAAAAAATGTATATAATACTATACCTGCAGGGGTAATTCCACATGCTATTCCTGTTAACTAAGAACATGTTTTCTTCACTGCACCTACTCCTTTTACAGGACCAAAAGCTATTCTAACATTCTTTAGCTTATTGAATACAGTTTTTTTTTTTTTCACATTAACATTTCCGAAATTGGAATGCATCTAAAAAAACTATGGTGTCTCAGATTTGATGAAATACAGCATGCGGTAACATTTGGACATTTTATTTAAAAAGCATAAGCTAGCTAAACAAGCAAACGGTGTACAATGAACTCTCTAAAATATCCTGACTAAAATAAAGCTGAAATGCCTCTTCCTATAGATCAATACTACAGAGTCCCTTTAAAATTGAGAAATATCCTAGATAGCAAGCAAAGAATATTCAGGTATTCCAAAACGTTGGAAAAAATGAGCCCTACCACAGAAAAAGTAAATCTTACTCTGAACTACCTTCTGAAAAGAAATAAGCCTTTTCATATAAAATAAGCATTTTGGAGGTTATCTACAATGATGATAAAACTATTGCTAATAGTGTAATTTTCAATCATGTTGGTATTTTCTTATAAAAATGATATGAAATCAGTGAAATCATGTGATATGAAATCAGAATGATATATGCTGTTCACACTACATGCATGTGTTAGCATGGCAACATACAACCATATTCCTACCTCTTTGGCTTAATCAGAGATGATAAAAATCTTTAAATTATTTTTTTAAGGCTATACAAGTGTCCGAGTTTTATTTTCGCCTCTTATTGACGGATAAATTTCCTTTTAAAAGGATGGGACAAAATTAAAAATTTAGAATTCTGAGGGTGTGCATAGGAAAAAATAAAAATTAATTAACATTTTACAAACCATCATGAACCAGAGGCAAAATAACTCAGGAGGAAGGGTAGGAATAATCCCTGGGGAAAAGGTAAGTTTAATCAACAAATGACTATGAAAATGAAAACTTAAAAAAAATTCTTTGTAATTACAGTGGCTTATAACATTTTAATAACAATAAAATCTAACTTTCATTCCTCTAACCCAGATTCTTTAGTACCATTGACATTTTGGGCTGGATAATTCTTTGGCATGGAGATCGTCCTTTGTATTGCCTCTACTTACTAGATGCCAGCAGTGTCCTGCGCCCCATCCCCTCAGTTATAAAAATGAAAAATGTCTTGAGACACTTTTGTCTCAACGCGGGGAAAAACTAATCCCTGTTGAGAGCAAGGCTTAAATCTTTCAGTTACCAACCAAAAAAAGGTTATCCTAGTTTTGCAGAAATCACCTGAAGGGTAGAAAACAATTTTAAAAAACCATTTAAAAGCAATACTGCTCCAAGTTAGTTTTCTACCTACAGAAGAAAAAAATAGACACATTTATCTCATATTCATCTAGGTATTTAAAATATTAGGGTTTACAAAGTGAACACCTTAAAAATCTGAAACACTAAAAGTCAAGTAAAGTATCATCTTTACCAACGATTATTGCCTTATGCATTGATTAAATACCTAACCATTCAAGCAGCCAGAGGTAGGGTAGTATATTCTTTTTACATTACTATGGAGGCTAATATCAGATATTTTTTACTTTACATAATTTATATTATTTATTATTTGCAACAAATAATTGAGTAAGTACTTAATCCTTGCCATGTATTTTGCTAAACACTTGATGTATATGCATTATCTTACTGGAAGAAGAGATAAATCAATGTAATATCACTATCTTAGGTTATAAAGTTCATAATATTCAGGGTTTGGTTGTAACCAATCTTCCCTGTACACATCCAAAGAATATAAATACTATTAAAATATAGTAATCAGGATTCAAGCATGGTAAGCCATATACAAGCATGGCACTGAAGAAAAGAAGCTGTATTAACTCTAGCTAGAATGGTTCTTAAATTACTCTTAAATGCCTAACTTACAAGCAATGCAGTTTAGAAAACTAGACAACCCAGAAATTCAAACAAAGGAGAAGATGAAGGAAGGTCTTATTATTTAAAAAGCAATAAAAAAAATGTCAGTGCACAGTTACACAAATAAGTATTGGACTTTCTCAATTATGACATTCAAAAATTGAGTTCCCTTGTTTTTAATAGCATTTTTAAATTGAAATAAACAGCACATAACATTCACCATTTTCAAGTATATACTTCAGTGCTTCCCAGTATATTCACCTTGCTGTGCAACCATCGCTACTATCCAATTCCAGAACACTTCCATCACCCCAAAAGGACAATCTGTACCTACTGGCAGTTAGTCCTTCTCCTCCCCTCATTGTCAGGCAACCATTAATCTACTTTCTGTCTCTATGGATTTGCCTATTCTGGACATTTCATATAAAGAGAATCAACATGTGGCCTTTTGTGTCTGGCTTCTTTCACTTGGCAGAATGATTTCAAAATTCATCCACAGTATACTATGTAACAGTGTTTCCTTCTTTTTTTACGGATGAATAATCCCTTATTTTGCAGCAATTAAGTGAGGCATTTCAAGTACTATGTTTAGATATGTCACCTGAAACATTTTTAGCCATTCCTGGAGGCCTGTAGGTGGCTGGACAGATGTAATTCGGCGTCGTTGTTGCCCTTGGCCATTGGCTGCTCTGAGGTCCCCAAAAGTTGTTGGTGTTGCTGAACATGGTACAAGCCCAGTGGTACTACAAAAAAAAAAAAAAGAGAGAGAGAAAGGATAAAAGGAAAAAAACAAAAGTGAAAGCAAAGATAGATACTTATTAATAATAGATTCTAGTACAAAGAATGATGATCTGGCATATTTCAAACATCAATTAATTACCTTTCTTCCCAGAGATCACAGGTACACAAAACCTATTTGCTATTCTTACAGTAAGTTTCCTCCCTCCTATATAACGCCTGTTATTATCCCAGAAATGCTAATTGCAACCAAATAACAGAATCTCCATGACAAAACTGCAAGTTGTTAATATATACAAATAAAGTTAAAATATTTCCTTAGAACATACAAGTCCCACTTCTCCTATGACTGGTCTTTGGTGACATAAGTAAAGTTTAAATTTTCTTTATAAAAAGGGTTGTGATACTTTATTAAAGCTTTAAAAAACTCAGACATAGAAATACTATGTTCAAATGTTTTGAATTTCAAGAATCACATTATTCCTTAAGTTTGCCTCAGATGCCTTCAAAATTGTCTATAATATTTCTAATTTTTTACTGCTATTTATAAAGTTTGGTCTGAATAGTTGACAGGACTCAGTCTTGATTAGAAATACATTTATTCAAAACAGGTAAGTATTAAGAACTTATATGCAAAACTAAATAAGATCATCTAAACATTTTTATACAATAATTTAAATTTTGAGATTTAACTGTCTCAAACAAACTTGAAATTCAATTCTGCCACTAGTAAAATGAGGACGACTAGATGATCTCTCTAAAACTAACTACCCTAAAAATGACCAATTAATAGCAGAAAGAATATATAACTATATTACTAACGTATTAAACTTTCCTTTCTAATTTCTGCATGTAATTAAACTAAACTCAAGGTAAATATTGGGTATCCATTTTAAAGACCTTGGAAAAAAAGCAGCAGGAAGGTCTGGTTTAACAAAATTATATTTGAAAAGAAATTCTCACTCAATTCATTGAGCTATGTTGATTAATTATTTTAAATTCAAAGAACACTTACAAATTGCATCGTAATAGTTAACAATCAAACTCTGATAAATTACTAATGAAACAACTCCTCCAGCTGTTTTTTTCTATCCAGCATTATTTTGTTAAAAAATGTATCTCAGTCACCAGATTTTACAGAAAAGTCTTCTTATCTACTCCCTTTAAATCCTCTAATAGTATAAATCGAAGACAATCTTTAACATTCAGCAATTAAATCTATCTTTTCTTCTTTCAAATTCAAAGGTAAGTTCTATTTTCTTTTCCTCCAAAATAAAATAGGATATGTTTATAACAAATTTTTGATGGAAAAATCATAGTTTTATCTTATTAGCAAATCTGTCAAAAATATCACAAAATACCAAATATATACCTTCCTAACCGAGAGTCTCCAGAAAAACATGGAAATAAATATGCTGTTTGGTCTAATTTTGCTTTAATAAAATTATATATTAACAGGCTAAAAATAAAACTTCTGCCTTTTCAGTTGCTTTGTCAATATAAAAAGTGAGCAACTAAAGACAAATTTTACTAAAATGTGTTCTGTAATAAAAATTCAGCACTCATTTATTCTAAGCTGCCTTAAAAACAAGTGAACAATGTAATACCTTTGTCCTGGTATCAGCCATATTAATAGAAGACTGATACATTTAAAAAATAGCATTAACAGTTAGTTTAACATTAAATGCAAATTTCTCATCCAAGAAATACTTTATCATGACTAGAAGGGAAAAGCAAAATGAAGTGAATAGTTTCACTTGTCTCTCTATCCCTCCACACCCTCTGGTGGAAGTGCCAAAACACAGTAAAACTGTCAAAAGGCAAAGAGTAACAGGAAGGGGGACAGTTAACATAAGAAAAATCACACCGAAAAGCAGCTCCTGAATAAGAGATAGCTTTATTTTTCTTTTCTGTGTTATCTCTTCACTTTTTGAATGTAAGACTATTCCAATTATGATGATTTTCAAATTTCATAAAGCAGCATTTGAAAGAAATATTTTTTACAACTGAAATAAAAACAAGCTATTTCTCTGTAAGAGGCACAATCTGCAACAATGTTCAATAAAAAAATTATATCTGAGCAATGTTAATTTTAGTGCATCTTATAGAATAAAAATAACTAAATTGAAATATTTTGAGAGAAAGGAAGAAATGTCATAACCATGAAGTTCTTATGGTTTCTACTGTTAACTTTCAATCACTTATTTTAAAAACTGGCAATTATACAAAAAATTCTGTTTTAAAGACCAAAAAAAAAAGCTCTAAGATACTTCTGTCATTTAAATTTTAAAATACGACATTCCAAGTGACATTCAAAGCCACTTTTAATTGGCTGGGCAATAGACATTGTGCTTAAGTTAGCCTAATAACTGTGAGAGTGGGAAAAGTTTTATACTGATGTAAAATCCAAAAATAATGGGGACTGAAGTAGAAAAAGATTACAATTATGTTTCATTGTTATGGAAACTATTCTACTGGTATAGAAAAGAAATGTATGTGTTAAAAACTTAAGACCTACCAAGCCCATAAAAGAAAATTTCTAACACATTAATTTCATGAAATAAGATTGAGTTAGTAATTGTTTTACTTCACTGCTAATAAATGTATCTTCAAATTTCCATACATAAATGTCTACCCTAGAACAGCTGTTCCTATAGTAACAAGACACAGGGGCTCATATTCATATTTTATGGTTTACTTTTTAGAATTCCTTAAAAATTGTAATTTTAAATTTTTGTTCACAAGATAATTTCTGCTTGTGTCCTACTTCAAAATGTATTAGTAACAAAACATAAACTAAGGTGGCATTCCTCTTATTTAAAATGATATAGTTCTCAATTTCCGGTAATCTCAAAATGTGTTAAACAGTCAACCGTACTAGTAACATTATTATTCTACAAGAATAAACTAAAACACTTTCAGAATCAACTCTAAAAAACTGAGAATCATGAGATAATCATTATATTTAATATTACCTTGTATATTCTGAGACTTTGCATGGTTTCTTTCCCAAAGAAAAAGAGCGGACCTCAGAACCATGGTCCAACTTTCTTTTCATCTATAAGGTAAAACAAACAAGATATGTTTTTTAAAAATCGTCTAACTATCAAATCTTGAGTCAGCATGGTTAATATTTTAAATTCTTAAATTTTCATATGCCTACAATGTTAATTAAATATATAAAATAAATGTTTCATAGTTTCTTCTATTTGTTCTACTTTGTTTTACTCTGAATGGAATGGAAAGGTGAATTTTCCCCCCTAATATTTTATCCAGAAGAACAGTGTGTGATGATTTGAAAACTGATATTCATTATATATATATATTCCTTGAGATAATATATCTTTCATGTTTTCCAATTTAATAACCAACATAGGGAAAAATCTCAAGTTAATCCACACAGAAAATAATCATATTTAACGTGCCTTCCTCGTGAATCATTTTTCTTTAAAAACATGTTTTTAATAAAGATAAAATTCAAAATTGTAAAATCAGAAATAATTATGAAAGTAACAAACTCAATTTTAAACACTCATACCATTATAAGAGGGTAAAGAGCAGTATAAATAATCTTGAATAGTGATAAGGCATAAAGCAATTAATATGGGCAATAAGGACAGTTTTAAAAAGTAAATCAATAATAAGAGAAATCTGGAGATAGTATAATAACGCTGAGGGGAAAGTTGTCAATTGATATATATACAGAATATAGCTCTATTGACAGATACTCAGGACAAAATATTCTAATTTGAAAAGCAACAACAGAAAGGTTTTAAAAGAATCAGTTATGCCTCTTCTATAAGGTGTATCCAAAATCTACATTTTAAGGTGTTTCATTATGCCATGTTATACTATAAATATATTCAGAATTGTTTCTTGTCAACATCAATATTGAAATATTCTCATTTGACTATATGTATATTTTAAAACTAGAAAATAAAATCTGGTAAGATTTGACTTTTTCCATTTCAACAACCCCTTTTTAAGATTTGTGTCCACTAATTAATCACTGTATTACTGCAAGTTATAGGAGGAAAAACACTCCAAAGTGATAGAGAGCTATCCTCATGTTTATAAGTAGGTAAAAATCCTTGCTTTGCAGCAGCCTTATTTTCCTACCTCTTGCCTTACATGGGAACATCATAACATAGCATGATACAATATAAATACTAAAGAGACTTAAAATGTTTTAGAGCCACACTGAATAATAAAGACCATGTTTTTGTCATCACGAAGAGTTTTCTAAAATACTAGGATGATCTTACGACATTAGGGGCTAGAGGTGAGGGTACAACAAGCTCACCTACAATTTATACCTTAGTTCATGCCATACCTACTGGAAAGAAATGGAATTGATCTGGCTGGTTTCTTCCCTTTAGAAGTTTATATACTCATTACATTGTTTTAAAGTGATTCCTCTCAGAAACCATTATTTTCTTTCTCCAAATAATTTTATTAAAAAGCAAATATAAATATAAAAGCTGAAGTATATAGGTAGCCACGTGTTTCCGTGTATATAATTTATAGATACACACATATATATATAAACATACATGCAAATGAATCCATCAGGAAGGTCAGTCAGTACAGACTATGTTAAAATCTAGTTTTTTGATAACTTCCACAAATTCTTATCTTCATAATTAGGAGAAACTTTGATATTTATTCTAATTAAGTTTGTAATACTGGCTTTCAGAACTTCCCAGGATACCTTGTAAAAAACATTGGTGCAAATACCATTTGCCACTAAAAGCAAACTTTATTTCCATCTTAGAAATCCTTCAATGAATAAACATGCCCCAAAATGTGTATCAAGGAAACCACTGAGAAAGGATTTTATTTTAAAAATATTTTATAAAGGAAAGCACCTTCTGTATGACTATAGAAGTCTTTTAAATACTGTACTGTTTACTGAAAATACTGACTTCAGAACCAAAAATTAATTCTGCAATTTTTGAGGGGTACAGAAAGTAAACATGATCTCTTTAAATATAAATCCCAAATAGTCTCATGATTCTATACTTTTAAAGAGTCAACTAATGAAAAAAGAAAAACTGTATACAAGGTATAGAAAAATTGAAGGCAAAAGGTTCACTAAAAGCCAACTAAGGATAGAGTATTTCCAGGTCAGCATTTAACAGAGCCACATTTCTAAAGTCTCAATGTATTTTTAGTGAAAAATTCTCAGATTAAAATATACATTTTATCTTAAATTTAAAGCTTTTTCCAGCTCACAGTCTTTCCGTTATTTGCTTACATTCATGATATAAAACAGAATACCAGACATCCAGCCACCCACCAAAATTAGAGGATACTGCAGCCATCTCTGATGATACAGATTTTCCTTCTCAGGCAGGCATACACACACAATCACATAGCATAGGAAGAAAACAGCTTACTTACTTTGTAAAAAATCATTTTTAATGTGCCGTAGAAACCCATATTTTCTGTATTTTTCCCCTTCAGTGATTCTGTGCCCCCGTGTGTCCGGCTGCTTGGCAGTCTCTGACAATATAAACCTTTTTCAGGTAGGTATGTCACAGATTCTAATGTGGACATGCTCAGGCACGTCAGAAAAGGAAGATTAGGGAGCAGAACCGGCAACAAAACTCCACAGTAAAGGCAAATGCAGCTCAGTATCAAACCGCTTCTCGGGACACACATACATACATGCAGCTTGACTGAGAAGAACTCGAGGGAATAATGAGAGAGAACGGAGAAGATTATTGGAGGAGACTATGCCCTGTCAAAGCCTTGACTGAACAGATTCCTCCCTCAGCAGCAGAGGGATCAGATTACATCTTCCCTTGAACACAGAATGGTGCAGTCCAGGATTCAGCAATGCAGACTGCACATCAATTATATGGTGATCCGCTCCAGGGAACCCGTAAGAACACAACGCACTGAACAGAGGGAGGATGTGGGCAGCAGAGACCGCCCCCACACGACAGCCCCCTCTCCCCTTTCAAACTTTCAAGAGGTTATTTTTGTATTTTGTAAAACCTGCATTTTTGAAGAGTTTTAAATAGCAAGGAACATTTCCACAAATAAGTCTTTTCAGAAACATTTTGAAAATAGGATATATTTTCATACGGTCCCCCTGAACTGAGGCAAAGCATGCTATTTTCACTGTCATCCTACCGTAGTCCTGGCACAGACTAATCAGATTTTTCAAGTAGCTTGGATGGTACAAAACAGGCAATCCCGAAAAGAGAAATTAATATACTCTGGGGTTGACTGACAATAAAGTAAACTGGTTTGGAGCCGACAGCATTTGCAGAAATTATGTAATCTAAGTTATATTTCAAACTGCGTATTTTGGTATTGATTTAATAAAAACATTGCCTATGCTTTTCCATTTCAATCCTTTAAAACATAGTAATTTTCAGGGAAATTGCCATACACTTCATCAATTCTTACTAATCATAAGAATATCTTTGTAAGATTAACAAACTAGTACTACCTAAGTGTGTAAAGTTTGGCCAAAAGGCTATTTTATCCCCAAAAGAGCAAACACTGTGCTGGCTGGAGAGGCTTACTTTTATTTGCTAATTTAATCTGGAGTAAACAGGAGGCACTAGACTTCTATCTCCAAAATTATTTTGACAATCTATATTGCTTATCATTAAAAAGGCATTTTACATAATAAAGATGCCAAAGTTTGCCAGAAGGCAACATTTTTCCTGGAATGACTACTACACAAATCTAGATATTTCATCTTGCAACTTCCTTCACAACTACCTTCAGGGACAATTATAAGATTCCTTGAGCTAGAAAAGCCCATTATTAAGGTTCTAGTTAATTTACTCCTACCCTCCCCATTAGTGTTCTTTATTACAAGTAAATTGTGTGCCTATAGTTACCACTATTCGAAGTAAGTTTCTCCAGAAAAACAAAACAAAACAACCATTTGGACTTACTAACATTTTAATACTCTCTGCTATGGTGGTAAATGGCTTTCTTTAGTAAAATGGTTCTAAATACTGCATAAAGTAGTATCATAATTTTAAAAATAAAAATGTTTACCTTTATAACTAAGACATTATGTCAATGCAACATCTTTTACTTTAAAACATAAATGAAATTAAGATAACGTAAAATTTTATGAAGATGTACATCTTGAGTCTTCTAGAAATTATATTCTACTGTCTACTTATCTTTAAAAAAAATCTCCTACCTGGCTCTTAAATTAATTCTTACCCTCAGGAACAATATGTATATGTACTCAGCAGAAGTTAGTTATCTAAATAATCTCACTTCGAAGGGAAGCAAAAAAACAAAAAAATCTAATTGTTAGGAATGGACCCATAAACTCTTTTGTCAGAAGTTCTGAGGACTCAAGATTTAGGAAAGGGGGAAAAAAGGTGATTTTCCTCAATGTTCTGGGCTATGAGAACACCTGAAATTTCATCCAGAATTTGTCAGTGGTAACAAGTTTTCCATAAGACACGTGTAATACTAGTGCTATAATAGTATATACTTTGGCTTCAACTGAAATCATGTCCTATTTCTAGTTGAACTAACCTTTTCAAATTAAATCTACTCAGTTAAGAAGAGACCAACTTTAATGAAGTAGGGGATACTGTCTCAAAACCTAAAGAAAATATCTCTTAACTTTGTATATTCAAAGGACTGCTCCCATGGTTATATGGCTCCTACTTAGGGCTGTGAGTTACAGGAAAACCTGTTCCCTACAAATATTGTTTGTATGTGGGTACTGTCCTGTAGATCCATGTTTTATTACCAGGTTTGTATGCTTCAAACATCAAAATGATATACAAAAAATTCTACACTGAGAAGTCTTTCTACTACCACATATCCTCCATCTACCATGGTTCCCATTTGGGAATGATTTTTATTGTTTATCCTTTAAGTGAGAAATGCGAATGTTTATAAGTACTAATGAAGACCTTGTCTTCCCAAGTATTTAAACAATTCTCCCTAATATCTTATGATGTTAATTTGAACTGTGAAGAATCTGTCAAGCAAAACTAGTCAACTAAGCTTCTAACTGAATTTCAAATTAACAGAATAAAAATGATTTTCAACATTCTCTGACGTACTATCAATGAAAACTGTGATCTATTATATTACTGTCATCATAATCTTAATATGAACAAAGCAAATAAAATCACTTGCATTTCTATTTATACCACTCGGCTAAAATATAGTTTGAAACTTTATTCAGATTTAAGTTTTTGGTAATATAATATTTAAAAATTTTTATGGGTTTGTGTCTGTATTTATCTATCTTATCTCTGTGACAAGAAACATTTTAAACTTTAGATCAGTCTATTATCTATGTTAAATAAGTTTTTTTAAAGTATTTTATGCCTTACACTAAAATATTAAGTAGTAAGTTCACAGGAAAGAAGGTCAACCAAATAGCTAAGAAACCAAATAGCTAAGTTAGTCAACCAAACAGCTAAGAAAATGTTTGTCATCTATATTTTTAGAATTACTATTTCACTATATTAAATATATTTTCATTACAATAATTTTCATGGAATTTCAGCTAGGCACTCATTTCTCCCATTCTATAAAAAATTAATTCTTGTGTTGACTGACAACCTAGAAGCATTATTGAAATTCCATTAGCAAAGGGAATGACCAACAATAAGGTCCTGGAATAAAATCCATCTGCTAACTCAGACCCAATGCTCATCTCATCACAACTCCACTGTGCTAGGTGTAGAAGTGGAACTAGTGTGCTAGCATAGAAGTTAGAAGTAACGAGGAAAAAAAAACAACACAAATATATGATGATATGTTTGCCTCTGGGGAATGATGCCATAGAATCATTAACCCGTGAGCTCCTACCAGAGCTCTGAACAAATAATTGGGACGACTTAAGTTTTTAGAAGGGCAAGTTGTGGTTGTGAGCAGAAAGAAAAAATAGTGTATATACAGTGAGAAAAATATACACAAATGGTCTTAAGCGAATCATGTATCTTCAGAGAAATACTTATCTTTACATATAATGTCAACATAAAGGATGTAGTTAATAGAGTACTTTACCTCACCTTGACTCTCAAGAGTTCATTATTTCCGTCTTATATATAGTTCTATTACTGCAGTTATCATAGTTCATTGTCATTATTTTTATACATCTTTCTCCCCTATCTCCTCCCTAAAGATTCACATCTTACTCAAATTTATTTCTAGGGCATCCAGAAAATGATACAAAACAAATAATTAATATTTTTGAATTGGCCATACAAGCAAATATCAGAAACCACAGCATTATTTTTCTAAAGCTTAAACATATATTACAATCAGTACTAAAAAGTTTAACTCAACTAAAAAGTTTATAATTAGTGGAAAATACTATGAATACTATTAGTTCTTTTCTTTACCTTGCTAACATTTAAAAATACACTTCCATTTTATAATAGTAGGAGAATGTGTTTATATTCCTATGTCAGTGATTTTATTATTATCATGACAACACTTTGTACTCTAGAAAGGACTAGGAAACCACCACAGTTAGCTGTCTTGCCCTGAGCACAGAATTTAGATTACAGACAGTTCAAAATTACAGACAGTTCAAAATTTCAACATCAATGAAAGGAATGCCAAGCATGTTGAGACTGAAATACT
This sequence comes from Homo sapiens, assembly GCF_000001405.40. Lineage (NCBI taxonomy): Eukaryota > Metazoa > Chordata > Mammalia > Primates > Hominidae > Homo > Homo sapiens. The sequence goes on from NC_000004.12 coordinate 152,356,667, forward strand.
TTTTGAAATTTCACTAACTCACTGTCATTAACTTTCTGGGATGTGAGTGCTTATTAAAAGGTTTGCTTATTAAAACTGGCAAACTAATAAACCTGTTCTATTACAGATATCAACTGGAATAGTATATATGCCCAGCATTTACATTTTCACTAACACAAATAGGTGGCAGTATTGGCCAATAAGCAATTTTCCATATTTATTCATTCAGTAAGCATTTGTTTAGCACCTACTTTGTGTTGGGCACAGAATATTATATACATCAATTGAAACTTTGTTCTTTCTCCATTGGAAATACAGTCAATTAACACAAGAGCATAGTGTAACGTAATATACACAAACATCTGACTGTTAGAACTCATACTGAAATTAGTTCTAAAAAATTTTTGAGAACATGTAAAATAAAACAAGATGAGCCAGCTTTAGTTCAAAACTACCATCTAAGTAAACAAATACTGTGACACTAGTGCCTTAGAAAAAAATCCCAAACACTAAACACTGTAATAGATAATCTTACTTTACTTAAACTTATTTTTTGGGGGGAAGGGGATGTTTATAATATATATAATCCAAACCTTTGTAAATCAAGCTGCAAATCAAAATGTTATAGCTGACTGCTTTTAAATAAATTTTAATATAATTACAGAAGTAGTAGTTTTTTCTTTTTTTTTTTTAAAGACATAGTCATACTCTGTTGCCCATGCTAGAGTGCAGTGGCGCAATCTCGGCTCATTGCAACCTCCACTTCCTGGGTTCAAGAGGTTCTCATGACTCAGCCTCCCAAGTAGCTGGGATTACAGTCGTGTGCCACCACACCCCACTAATTTTTCTATTTTTAGTAGAGATGGGGTTTCACCATGTTGGCCAGGCTAGTCTCGAACTCCTGGCCTCAAGTAATCCGCCCGCCTCAGCCTCCCAAGGTGCTGGGATTACAGGGGTAAGCCACCGTGCCTGGCCAGAAGTTTTAATTCTTGAAGTTTAAGCTATTTAAAACTCTCCTTACAAAGACACAGCCTCTGATTAGTGTGACACACTAATCAACTGCAGTATTAGTTCCAACAGTGTAAGTTTTTTCATTCCTTCAGATTGGGCCAAATTAGTCATCTGATGGACACATGCACAAATGTATTTATCTACAAATATATAAATATACACACATACATAATTCATACCCAATAGTGCAAGTTAAGAGTTCTATTTATGCCAGCCACAGAATAAAATAATATGGGGGTTTTATTCGCTCCTCTAAAATTTATATTGTTACAGAGCTGTCAGACTAATACTAAGTCAACATCCTCTACTTTTTCACAGACAGCCGGCATCAGTGCAATAATTTGACAACAAAGTTAGCAAGTCACCCTGGAGTTTACTGATTTATCCAGAAAGCAATGAATCTTTCATGCTTAAAATCCAAAATAAACTACCAATAAGCATTTGGAATTCATAAGTTTCCTCTCAAAATTTTATTGTGAATTTCTTATAGTAATACCTTCAGTAAAGTAAGACAGATATCATGGAAAAAAAGTATAAAATGTAAGTTTGACTTCAAGAAAAATGAAACCACAAATATGACCCAGGAAAGAATTTAACATGGAGAAAGAATGAAATCAAATTTCCCTCAATATAAGGCCTAAACCCTATTCACTCTTCTGCTTTCTTTACACAAATCCATATTTATTGCTGCTGTTTGTGATTTTCAAATATATTTGCCTGACTTGAGAAGAATTTCCCATAGGTGTGATATATTAATCTTGTATTCATTTCAAGAACTGTTTAAAATTCTGGGATTAATTTCCTAAATTAGTGATTAGTCATGATAAAAAAGTTTTGAGAAGAGAGCTAAAGACTAAAAAAAAAAAAAAGGTATAGCTACTAAATCAGCAAAAAATATTAACAGCAGGAAGCCATAGAGTGATTTTGGATGTCATCTAATTCCTCTTTGTTTGTGGAATGAACACAAGCAATGGAACCAGAAAAACCTGGATTTAAGCGCAAGTTTTGCCATTACCAGAGTGTAATGTTAGGTGGTTACTTGACCTTTACGAGTTTGTTTTCTCTTTTTATAAAACAGTAATGATATACACCTACCTTACCACCTAAACTACAGAGTCACTGTGAGGAAACAGAAAATGCCTAGCACATAACAGATACCCTAGAAATGGTAGCTGTATTTAACAGGTGGGAAAAGTAGGTACAGAATTAAGTGTCTTGCCCATGCTTAAATAGCTAGCTATATTTAGAACCTTGGTCTCTGGTCCCAAGATCAATAATTCTTACTGATTTCCATTAGATATGTGGTAGCTCAAGTTAAGCTAAAACACGAGACATTGTTAAAGAAGAAAAAAGTGTTATATTTTGCAAAAAGTATGTATGTAAATTACAAGTAAATCTTGATTATTCAGTTTATTGAATCGTTATTTTAGGTCCATATTAACTATGCTTCTACTACATCTGGGAAATCTGAGGCAAAGGCCTGGTGATGGGGGAAAGGTGACAGAAACTGAGAAAATTTTAGGTTAAAAAAACAATCAATTGAGAAATAAGTCACCTCCTATGTCCCAATATCTGCGAAATGCTACCAAGGGCAAACAAAAACATTGCAATTACCTTCCTCCCACAAGATACTTAAAATCCAGGTGACAAGATAAGAAATGAGGCTGGGTGTGGTGGCTCACACCCATAATCCCAGAGCTTTGGGAGGCCGAGGCAGGAGGATCATTTGAGGCTACGAGTTCAAGACCAGCCTGGGCAATATAGCAAGACCCCATTTCTATAAATAATGAAAAAAAATTACCTGGGCATGGTAGTGTGCACCTGTAGCCCTAGCTACTTGAGAGGCTGGGGCAGGAGGATCGTTTGAGGTTGCAGTTAGCTATGATCACAGCACTCTACTCCAGCCTGGGTGATAAGGCAAGACTCTGTCTCAAAAACAAACAAACAAAAACTACCAAAAACAAAACAAAACAAAACAAAACAACAACAAAAACCACGAAGACAGGTGAGGCAAGAGAATCACTTGAACCCGGAAGGCAGAGGTTGCAGTGAGCTGAGATCGTGCCGTTGCACTCCAGCCTGGGCAAAAAGAGCAAAACTCAGTCTCAAAAAACAAAAAAAACCCACAAAGACAAGAAACAAATAGAAAGCAATACTGGACTATATATCAATTGCCAAATTGGGTGGAGTGAGTCAGAAAATGGAGAAGTTATTTTAATAGTCTGGGAGTTCATAAATGACATGGTCTTGCTTCTGTGTTTAAAAAACAGAAGTTTGATAAGTGTTGAGAGGGAAGAAGGAAATTACCACCTGTGGACCTGAGATGTAAATGGAAATACGACTATTATTAACTTGCAGGATTAACAGCATCTATTAGACTTCTAATCACTGGTCTTACAAGGTTCATTAGGGGATAACCCATGTGATAACAATTATTTCTCCTAACTGAAACATTTAATACTAGAGTTAAAATGTTATTTAACATATTGTTAAATTTCTTCAAAATACCTCCTGTCATGACTCATCATTCCATCTTAGGGCATTATGTGTCTTTCTGTACTAGGAGAACTTTACTGTGTGGGTGTGAAGACTGTTGACTTTTTATTTTAGTTACAAACACTGACAAACAAGGGGACTTTCTGTTTGAACAGGCATTCACACTAGAAATCATACATACAAGCAAGTTGTACTCCTGAATACACAGCGCAGGGAAATGGTGTATAAAACATTCATTGAAATTGTATATTCCCAGAAAAAGTTAATGAAAAAACAATCCGAAAAGTTACTCGGGGCAACAGGTGAGTACACAATTCACCGATTCTTGCCAACATGTGACTGAAAGAACCTGTCCTATTCAAAAAGGTATAGCTCACTAAGAAAATTTTCATCTTGTTCTACCCCAGCCCTTTCTCCCCACACCTCTACTGTCTGGCCCCCAGACTCAAAGCCTCTTTTCTAAAGAACAGACTTCACTATAGAGCATTTTGAAGTCTCAGAAACCGTTCATCAGGTACAGAGCTAGGTGACTATGGAAGGGTGACTGTAAAACTAGAAGGTATGTGAGATTCGATAACACAATATAAGGTACGGTCCTTTTGAAAAAACAAGCATATATTTTATGTGTGTGCGCACTGTGTATGCATAGAGAAAAGCCTAGAAAAATATATTAAAATATATTAAATATATATATATATATAAAATATAGTAAAATGCCAGCCAACATTTGGCTGGCAGATACAGAAAGTCCAGATTCATACTTACTGCACTTTTTAAAATATAGGCATCTCTTCTCATCAAGCATCTTACTAATTTTCCAGAAGAATTCAAAATGACAAGGCATAACTTGAACCAATCTTTTAAAACTCTAGTTATGAATCAAAGTCTGTGAATTCAAACTGATTTCACTAATTCAAAAATATTTATTGAGTACCTATTTTGTTTTGGTGCTAGGCCAGTGAGAAACAAAAATAACACTGGATTCTTGCTCTAGAAAGTGTGCCTCATGGTGATCTTTAATCAATTCTTTGTTTTTATGTAGCTTGCTTGTTCTTTAAGTATTCAAGTGTTTGACATAGCTGTCAAGTGAGTAGGGAAGAACATAGTAATCAGGCCCCCACTACATTTTAAAAAGAGGATTCTATTCATTTTTAAAACATTAATTTAAATTTTAAAGTACTTCCTATATACATATATATACTTTAACAAATTACATTATTTGCTTTAAAAAAAAATCAAGAATTCTATGACTAGCAAATACTTACATGATTCCCTACCTGTTTAGGAGATTCCAAAAGACTCTGAAGGTCAATAAATATTTTCAAGACAACTTAACTTGAAAAGGTATCTGAATGTATATTTGTCTTTTATGTGCAGTGAACTGTAAGACTGATAGTTAGAAGCACTTTGCTATCTTCTCAACATTCTCATAGAAATATTTTATTTACAGATTCACTTTCTTAAAATTTATTTTAGCACATGATTTAAAAAATATTTACCTATAAACACTTGAGACCTCCAAATGTTTGAAAACTAACTTTTGACAGGCATGGTGGCTCACACCTGTAATCCCAGCATTTTGGGAGACCAAGGCTGGTGGATCACTTGAGGTGGAGACCAGCCTGGCCAAGAGTGAAACCCCGACTCTACTAAAAATACAAAAATTAGCCGGGTATGGTGGTGTGCACCTGTAATCCCAGCTACTTGGGAGGCTAAGGCAGGAGAATTGCTTGAACTCGGGAGGTGGAGGGTGCAGTGAGCCGAGATTGCAACACTGCACTCCAGCCTGGGAGACAGAGCTAGACTCCATCTCAAAAAAAAAAAAAAAAAAAAGAACAGAACAGAACAGAAAAAAGAAAAGAAAAAAGAAAGCTTATCACATTTAATACATGATTCTAAAAACTCCTTTATGTGGAATGAATATCATAAGTTTCCCACCAGTTGCATGAAGGCATGGTATGTAATGATGGAATGATGACTATTAAACAAATATGAATTATAACTAAAATTAAGAACTGCTCCTGATATGAACAAGTGCATATAGCTGTGGTCTGTTACGAACTGCTACATGGTAAATTGAGACCACTTTTTAAAGCTAAATCTTAGATTTCTTAAAATCTAAGTTTATGAGTCAATGTATGTTCATAATTATACAATATGAAAAAATCCTATGAGGAATAGTCTAAATCTACCCAAAAGAATATCAATTCAAAGCTAGCAAAAGGATGCTGAACTTTAGTGTAATCTTAAAATTCCAGTATTTTTTAGTTCATGAGATGATAAAGAAGACACACACATATTCCTTTCTTCATTTTAAACCTTTCCTTTAAAGTCATTCCAACAACAGACAACTTAGCATATTAAAAAAGAACTTAGGGCCGGGCGCAGTGGCTCATGCCTGTAATCCCAGCACTTTGGGAGGCTGAGGCAGGTGGATCATAAGGTCACGAGTTCAAGATCAAGTTCACCAGGCCATCACCTGGCCAAGATGGTGAAACCCCGTCTCCACTGAAAATATAAAACAAATTAGCCAGGCATGGTGGTGGGCACCTGTAATCTCAGCTACTTGGGAGGCTGAGGCAGAGAATTGCTCAAACCCGGGAGGCAGAGGATGCAGTGAGCCAAGATTGCACCACTGTACTGCAGCCTGGGCAACAGAGTGAAACTCTCTCTCTCAAAAAAAAAAAAAAAAAAAAACAACAAGAACTTGGAATAGTTTTCAAGAGAAGATAAATGAAGATATGTTAATCATCATGATCACAACATAAACAGCAAAGATTAAAATTAAGTGGTATTTTCCAAGATATTTTTAGTCACCTGACTTTTATTAAACCATTGCAATAAACAGATTTTGTTAGACTAAGATGTAATTTACCCCCTACCAATCCATTTATTTCAAAGACTTTAACTTTGTGAGATTCACAATATTTGTTTATCATTTATAGGTAGCACAGAAAAAGCTAGTGACTGAGAGCAATTCATGTGAGCCTCTAACTCCAAATTCCATTATAATATTATCAGTCTCATCCAAATGAATCCTGAGTCATATAATGATTCTCCATTTTCTAAACAATAAAACAAGAGGGAGAAAAAATTAAGCAGTGATTCAAATGTTATATTTTTAGATCTAGATCTACCACATTTTAGAAATATTTGTCCAGGGTTACTAAAAGCCAAGCACTAAGCAAAAAAGATGCAAAATTGAGCAAGATGTAATATCTATCCTGGAAGCACTCCCAACTCAGGAGGGAAGGACAGGCAAGTCAATAAAAAATGACAAATCCATTTGACTAATAAGTGAAACTGCTTAATTTGTATGACAATATATACAACTAGAAAGAGGAAGAGATAATATTTTCAAGAAATGCACATGGCAATATTTTAAACCAAATGTATACAAGAAAAATAAACACTAGATTTTAAACTGACCTGAATGCTCTTTCAGTGCCCACTATCAAAGATGCTGCAAACTTTATTCCAGTTTGAATAAGCAACTCCTTTTCAAAAAGATGTTTTCTTAAGAATACAATGTATACAGGGAAGGAAACTCACTATATGTCAGGCACTCTTCCTAGGTGTTTTTCTTATATTAATTCAATGAAACGGTTTAACAACTTTCTGCAGAAAGTACTATTATTATCTCTATTTTACAGATGAGGAAAGAGGCACAGAGAGTTTTAAGCGACCCCAAGGTCACTTAAGGTAGATGGGATTTGAACCTAAGGAAGTCCTGGTCTTCAGTTTACAAAAAAATAAAAATAGGGTTCTCTATATACAAAGCAAGAAATATTGGCAGTTTAAATATCTCTAAGATGTTTTCTTAGTTATTTCAGTATGCAAATGTGTGATGTGAATATGAAATCCACACTAGAGCCACTGCAGACTTGCAGAAAGAAGAGACGGACTATGCAGCTAATTGTGTACTGTGATACACTTTATTTCTGGGAATTCACCAGGAGCAGCTTGACAACAAGTTAATACACTACTGCCAGTGGCTCCGCTTGGTTAAGAACTGCTCTTATAATCTGTGACATTATATTGAGGCCAGGCAGTCATCAGTGGGCATACTGGAAGAAACACAACAACAAATGGGTTTTGCTTCCTTTTCCCAAACCCTCTCAGGACTTCTATGTCTTACTCTCCTTCCTTCATGTCCTGCTTTATTTCCCTAAAATATGAAATAAAAGAGAGCTGAAAACACAAACATCAAAGGATCTCCATTGCAGTGTCCTTTCAACGAAGCTACTAGGTTTTTTCCTCCTTACCAAAATGATTTGAACCCTATGGAAAACTGGCAAAAGTTATGAATCATAATATTTATGAAAGAAACTGCTTCAAATGTTCTTTGTTGATTACTCAAACCCAAATACACTTAATAAGGGACTATGACTTCTTCATTGAAAATTTTTTTAGTACACAGCCTAAAAATACTTGACTTACTAACCAAGTAGTAACAAATACACAGGATTTTCCATCTGAATACATAGAGCACATGCTTTTCAATATGTGGCTATCATTTGGGCCCTGTTTCTTAACTTCATTACATAAGGCCTTTTTTAAAGAGCCAATCCATCTTCATTAATTGTCCATTTGATCCATGTATGGTTATCATTCCTAACAGTGAACATCTGTATTGAAACATATGTATCTCTGTGATTCTACCCTACACTTTGTCTCAAGTATCTCCATAATTATATTCTACCTAATATACATAATTACAACACATGCAGATTTACATGGTTATTTCAGTCTGCCACAGATACTCCCATTCATTCAATATAATAGTTACTTAGTTGCCTAACATAAGCTAAACTAAGTCTTGTGTCTGTTTCATGGCTGGAGTTCACAGCATAGTGGGCAAGATAATGAGACAAAACAAAGCAAAACTGCAACTGTGGTAAATGCTGCAGTGTTCGAAGAGTGTTAAGAATGGTGAGGTTTCCACCTAGTCTGTGGGTTCACAGAAGGCATCTTCTCGCTGAATGAATGACTGAGCTAGGTTCGGAGCAGGGAGGGATAACCACCTATAGCTAGAGGACACTGAACAGAGGTAGGATGGCAGGTGTAAGATGAGGCTGAAGAAGTAGACAAGGGATACATTACCCAAGACCTCAAAGGATTTTGGGTTTTACCATAAGAGTAATGAAAAGCTAATGCTGCATAGTAGTTAAGAAAAAGATATAATCAGATGTTATTTCTTGAAAAAAATCATTCAAAGTGTAATGCTGAAAATAGAATGGCAGTGATTGAGAGTAGATGTGGAGAGACTGTGTGAGGAAGTTATTCCACTAGACCAGGCAAGAGATAATGATGGCTTCGATTAGCTAGGTAGAAACAGAGATGCATAGGAGTGGGCAGTTAAGAGACATTTAGGACATCAAACTGATAGGATAGTAACAGATGGGTCATGCATGGCAAGTAAAAAAGAGGAAGGTATCAAAGATAACACCTGTTTTCTCACTTGTGCAATTGGATAACAAGGACTGGGTTAGTTGGTTGTTTTTTGTTTTCTGGGGGCCAGGGGTGAGGAGGATCTTGAGATATCTTGGAGATAACTGGGTATCCAAATCTCATGCTCCAACTGGTTCTGGCCCAGAAGAAAGGTCTGGGTTGGAGATGAAAATATGTGAATTATCTGTATACAGGCTATCTCTGATTTCCCAGTGCTTGAAGCCAACACCTTGTTACAGTGTGAGCACATTAAATATTTGTCTGTCTTCTCCAATAGACTGTAAGTTCCATGAGGGCAGTATTTTTATTCTGTTTTGATTCTTGTTGTATCTCAGCTCCTCACATAGTTCCTGCATATAGTAGGGTACCAATAAAAAATATTTATATGAGATAATTAGCCACACAAGACATACCCTAATCAACAATGGTAGAGCTACAGAAATAACAACAGAAAACCATTAATTTTGAACACAATTTTAAAAACTCATAATTTTCTAAATAAGAAATGATGATGTAGGTGAAAAATACATTTTACAGGTTTATCATTTTATAATTATACTGTCTATTGTTTATAATACTTAATATATTTCCCCCTCAGGGAAAAGTCATAAAAGCATTTCTACATATTTATCAGTCATACAGTCCAAATACAAATTAAATTGGAAGAAAATAAGTTTGATGAGCAATAAAAATGCAACTTCACAGTTTAGGACTTCTGTACCTTTAAAATGCCCAACAGAATCTAAACTTTCACTATTAAAAGGAATACACAGTTTTAGCAATGCTTGTTAAAGTACACCACTTCTCACAGGTCTCATTTAAATCATTTTATTTATTCATAGTTATTAACTTCACAGACAGTATTTTGTACCTCCATTTTACTGACAAGAAATCTGAAGCATGAGTTTCTGAGTTGCCAAAAGTGTTGTAACTTATACTAGCTTTAAAAACTAAATGTAAATCAAAACCACAATGAGATACCATCTCACACCAGTTAGAATGGCGATCATTAAAAAGTCAGGAAACAACAGGTGCTGGAGACGATGTGGAGAAGAAATAGGAACTCTTTTACACTGTTGGTGGGACTATAAACTAGTTCAACCATTGTGGAAGACAGTGTGGCGATTCTTCAAGGATCTAGATACTATTTGACCCAGCAATCCCATTACTGGGTATATACCCAAAGGATTATAAATCATGCTACAATAAAGACACATGCACACGTATGTTTATTGTGGCACTATTCACAATAGCAAAGACTTGCAACCAACCCAAATGTCCATCAATGATAGACTGGATTAAGAAAATGTGGCAAATATACATCATGGAATACTATGCAGCCATAAAAAAGGATGAGTTCATGTCCTTTGTAGGGACATGGATGAAGATGGAAACCATCACTCTGAGCAAACTATCACAAGGACAGAAAACCAAACACCGCATGTTCTCACTCATAGGTGGGAATTGAACAATGAGAACATTTGGACACAGGGCTGGGAACATCACACACTGGGGCCTGTCGTGGGGTTGAGGGATGGGGCAAGGATAGCATTAGGAGAAATATCTAATGTAAATGACAAGTTAATGGGTACAGCAAACCAACATGGCACATGTATACATATGTAACAAACCTGCACGTTGTGCACATGTACCCTAGAACTTAAAGTATAAAAAAAAACTAGCTATACTTGTATACATTTCATATATATTATATATATTCACATATTTTAATCTCTATGAAAAGAACAAGTTCTATTTCCTTTAAAATTAAATTGAATACTACATATGTTACACAAAATTGCCTAGCTTTATTTTGCTTCAGTTGCTTTTCATCAGCATCTCCCATTGAGAGAGGATATATCAAGAAATACTAGTTAATAAAAAAGGGCCAAAAAGACTAAGATCCCACTAAAATACTCTAATAAAAATGATGGTTATTTTAATTATACTTCATTCACTTTGGTTTTGTGAATATGCAAAATATGCAAGAAATATTTTTAACAATAGATACATTTCTGGGCATACCATTCACTTCTAACTTTGTATGCAGATAAAACATTCCTCGACTTAATCTTCAACGTAGTCAACACTATACACACTGATATCTAAATCTTTAGTTTTCACTTTCTAATAAATATTCTAATATACAGAAACTGAAGAATGTTATTACCATTTTCACAAAGCATCTACATTTTTGTATATAGATGTAGACATTTTAAGTAAATATATTTAAGACTACGACAACACAAGTTGATGATACTAGGTGACAGTATTAATGCTTTTAAAATTATACTAAAGAAAAAACATACTAATATAAAGAAGAAAAAAACTGGTAAGTTTTTTTTGGAGGAGGTATGGTTTGCCATTTATTACTTTTTTTTTGTAAGAGTCGATTAATATTCTAAAAAGGTCTACGAAAAAGCTGAACAACCTCTCAAGCTCTGAATCCATGGCACTGACCTTAGGACTTTCTCAGAATGATTTTTAACGCACTCTGTTATTAGTAAAACCTGTTCAAACACATGCCCCATCTGCCAGCACCCCATCTGCAAGAGAGCTTCTTATTCTTGTAGACAGTACAACTTCTGCCTGTTTCCTTCTCTTCTCTACATACCAGCTGTATGGTAATGAGCATGAGCAGCTGAAAAATACTGCATTATAACAAAGCTAATATGAAAACAGCAGAATAGGACTTCCCTTCAATGAAGCAGTTGTAGCATGAACATAGCTGATAAGCTATTAAATAGAGGTAGGGGGTGGTTAGAATTTTACTTCTATGTGTGTGGGATGCCCGTGTGTGCGGATGCATGCATGTGTGTGTGTTAAATATGGAATTTCTGTATAACACAGAAATAACAAGAACCAAGAGAAGCACAGGGTACTAAAGAAAGGTCTAATTTTCTAAGTACTTTTGTTAAAATTTGTGAATCAGTTCTTTAAATGTTTTAAGTCTCAATTCTTATGTAGTAATGATATATCAGGTACCATTTTGACAAGACAGTTTTCAAATTTGTTAAAAAGTATGTTACATTTCTTAATTACCAAATTTTGGGGGCTTCAGTAGGAAAATGGTGTCAGAACTTAAAATTATAATGGAAACTATATACTAGACATTTTAGCAGCTAACATAATATGTAAATCAATAACATGTATTTTTAATTCTTATATAGCGATTTTAAAAATTCCAATTTAATGACATTTGAAACCAACACATTTATTCTGAACATCTGAGAATCTCCAAACAAACTACCAAGATGTCACATATGCTTTTCTTCATGTAGGGAGACATAATGGGGTTAATTTTTACATATATGATAGTCGCACTGAATGAATCTACATAATGTAAGTAGAACCAAATCACATTAACTTTTTATGCATGGTATCTTTCCACTCAGAGAAGATTAAAAGTCACTCAGGAAACTGTTTAAGAAAAATTATTCAAAATTTATGCTGTGCATCTTCTTTTACCACTTGAAGAAACTAAAAATGAAAAAAATACTCAAAATCTCTATCATAAGTACTATTACATCAGGAGAATTAATTATAAATTTTACCAACACATCTAAAAATGTCTTATGAGGGCTTCATAATAGTTACAGAACTCTTGTACATAACCATGCTTTCCATGGGTTATTTCATTTTATCCTTACAACAACCCTCTGTAAAAGGTACTACTATTAGCTCTTCACAGATAAGGCTTAGTAAGTGGTACAGCAAAGAACTTAAACCCAGGTCCAACTGACCCTATAATCCGCGCTCTTAGGCACTCTGCTTTTCTGATATGAACTCCACGAGGGTGATGGCTGGGATGTTTTGTTCACTGTTGTACTCTAAATGCCTAAAGCAGTCCGTGGCTCATAGGAGGTGTTGAATAAAGTGAATACATAGATGGAAGAGATAACTGCTCAGTTGTCTTCTTTTAAATATTAAGTCGGGGGAAAAGTTACTATATTTTGTAATAAAGTTTGTAATAACCTTAACCATTTTGACACGAAAAAAAGATGTACCAATTAAAGAATCTTAAAAATAAGACTGTTCGGTAATCTCAGTTTTGTTCACTTGTCATATTGAAAAATTAAGACTGTAAAAATTATCATAAACATTCATTTTGAAAGGATGACACAGAGTAAGGGCAAAACTGCACTGATCTTGGTATTTTCCGGTTTTTATGAATCCATTTATTCTCATTTTTATTGTCAGACAATAAAAATGCATTTTTCCTTTTAACTAAACATATTCCTTGACTTCAAATATAAATCAGGGCCAAGAGCTTTCATAATATAAGAGATTTTGTATAACACATGTAAGAACATGAACTGAAAGAATAGTTCCAACTTAATGAAGCAGTACCAACCATCCTTTAAAAAAGCAAGATATAGTTATGTTATCTTAGAGAAGAACAAACTTCTAACAGTAACACAGATTTTTAAAACTCACAAATTCAGACAAGATTTACAAAAACAGTACTATACTGCCCCTACATGTTCATATTAGTAGCAACAGTGACATTTTAAAATCTAAAGTGATAACGCAGAGATTTCTATGGATTATTGAAAAGCTGTTTAAGCTGAAATTGTTCCCAAGTGAACTATATGAAATCACCCACACATAAAAATGTAATTAAATAGCTCATAAGTTTCAATTTTCATGTTCAAGACTAGCAAAGGAGAAGAAATTTAAGAAAATCCCATTCAACATTACCATAAATTTTCTCAAATCCTCAAAACAGATTTTCCCATCATTATATGAGGATACCACAAAATAATCATAAACAAATGGCTAATTAGCCATGTGCTTTTGGGATAAATATTTAACCTTTTCTGTCTCTTTTATGTATGGGGTGGGGAGTGCTACCTTTACTTGAGGAAGAAAGTTCAAATTAAAAGTCTTGATTTAGTTGTGAGTAAATTCCTAATGAATGCAAACATGGAATTCCACTATAAAATTAATGTTTCAAGTTAATTATATCAAAATATTACATGTATAGTGGATCACTGCAATGTTTTTAGCATTATCTACACTTGGAGGTGCTACTTTCAATGGCCACTTTCAACTATTCTCTCTCTCAAAGAAAAACAAATATGCAAATAATGCCAATGTAGTAAGATGTACGTTTGAGAAATGATGGCTCTCCTAAGAAGAAAAGCCTGCTATTTTATGGTTCGATAGCTCTGAAAAATATTCAGTATAGAAAAACAGAATTACAAAAACAGTATTAATATTTGAGAAAGACTCACTGCTTCCCCCATTCCTAAATTGCAATGAAGTTTATAAATATATAAACACAAGACACTATCAAAGTCACAAAAGAAAACTTTATTAATCTAAGATATTGACTTAAAAAAACCCTACTTTAATAATTTTACCCTTCATATTTTAGGAGTAAAACACTATATATACAAATAAAGAGACGTGCTGCATCAGCAGGTACTTGTGAAAGGAAATAACTGAATTGAAACTGCTAACATTTAGAATGTCATCAACTTTACCAAAAATGCTGGGCCTTTCCACTATTATTTCTATAGTAAAATTAATATCATCTTTAAAAATCTTAAATTATATCTACTGTTATTTATACCAAAATATAACACAAATATATCTACCATAAATTTTATCTACCATTATATAACTAATTTATATGTGAGATACATGCTAGTTTCTGCAACCTTCCATAGTGGCATGGAAAAAGACAAGAAGTCTAATTCTGATCCAGGAATAATTCAGAAAGAAATCACTAAGCTGTGCCTGATAGAATTATTAAAAACACCAAAAGAAAGTTGTTTCACAAAAATATTTAAAAAGGGAGTTAAATGGAATCCTATTTATCATTTCAGAGCATCAAAATAATATTTTGCTTGTAATAGATACTATCTAACAGTATTTGAAAACCGGCAGATTATACATTTCAATAAGGCCACTAACTTAATTCTATCAAATCAGGTAAATTGTATGTACATGTATGTAGTTATGTATACATATGAAAAAACTATAATACAAATTATCACCAAATGATTTAGAAATGAAAAGTGTATAATTTAATAAAGGAGTCTGATGACACACTGTATGTTGGCACAAACTGCCTCTTGCCTTGGAGGACTTCTCAGGACCGCTAAAATGTTGAAAGGACTTTTTTTCCTGTTTTGTTCACTAATGTATCCCAAGTGCCTAGAACTGGGCCTGGCTATTAGCAGATGCTTATTTGTTGAATAAATTAATTAAGCCATGTTCATCTAATTTTGATATGTGACCATGAAATGTGGATGATGAGACAAGTCTCTCAGAGACATGAAGGCATTTGTGGATTCCTTAAGGGAAAGGTGTGCTGTCTTATTCATCTTTGTAACAGTAGCAACACACACAGAGAGTATGCATACTATATATCAGCAGATTAAAATTAATTTTGTGGTGTTAATTTCCCATGGAAATACTGGGACAATTAAAAAAAATGTGGTTGAGGTTCTCTACACTCATTTAAAGAATAAGTCTATTAGCATGAGCTGTATTTTAATCACTGAAGAAAAGTAATATAAAAGCTCCAAACTATCATTGTATTATATGGTTATAATAGCCTATAATTAGGTTAATAAACTTTAGGTACTCATCTATATATGTATGTTTTAAAGTATTTAATATGCATGTACTCAGAGACTTAAGATAAAGCTTAGACTACTCTGACATTTCAAAGTGTGTTCAGTTTTTTATGAGTGGGTGACAGTTGTAAAACTCTAAGGTCTCTGGATTTAGTTCCATGCTCTTGGAGACAGCTGTGTTCCTAAATTCAGAATATTTTGAATTGTAGAAAGGTAACAGAGTGCATATACTATTTATTACAGAGCACTTCCAGTATATCACACATTAGTGTTTCTCCAGCAAAATATATGAATATTCAGATAAATAATAAAGATGACTGTTTTATGTTAGTTTGGGTTAGGTTTTGCTACCTTTATTTTTAAATTTTCAGTTTTCAGAGCATGATGGATTTCTGCTTTGCAGACAAGGGACTGTGGACTTATTTCACACTTGTTTACCTTGCCAGGAGCTTAGTTCCAAGTTTATTTTTAGCATATTTTTCATCTGTCTTCTATATTACAAGCCTCAACATTAAGTTAGTTTCTGTAAAACCTAACTTAGTTTATATTTACAAATTTAAATAGCCTTGCCCTTTGATGTCAAAATTATACAAATTGTTACCTAATTAAAAATTTGTTACATAAAAGACAAAATCATACAAGTTGTTTCCATAGTGTAGTTACAGATTTATAAATCATGTGCTAAGTCGCTTTGTACTCCTATCTGACAACTAGGGCACAACCCAATACTAAAACATCATCTGATGACAAAAACATACAGAAGGCAGTATTATCAGTAATTAGATATTGAGACCATCATAAATTGTTGGGAAAGGTGAGAATTACACATTTAAAATTCCAAGATTATATGGCAAAAGTTAACCCTTAAAACATTTGGACACTAAGGGTCTGTTCAACAAATGCCTACTCCAGATCCGTTTCCTGCAGTGGCTGTGATGCTGGAATAAGACTGCTTGAGTTAGTGTCCTAGCTACATTACTTACTAGCTAAGGGGCAAGAACCTTCCTATGCCTGAGATTCCTCACGTGTAAAACAGGTAAAATACAATACAACGTACTTCACAAGGTGATTTTAAGGATTAAATGAGTTTATGTATAGAAAGTAACTAGAGTAGTGCCTCTTCTACATCCCAAATCATACCTTATTCTATTACCCTATTTTACTGTCATCAAAATATTAACAGTAGTATTTATTTTCTGTCTCCCCAAACTACAATCTAAGCTCCATGAGGGCATGGCCTTTGTCTATCAAGTTCACTGTTATATCTACAGTTTCTAGGAAAGTTCTCTACTCTAGGTGCTCAATACGTATTTTTTCAACATTAATAAATTGACGGCAAGATGTAATTTGCAGCAGTATACTTAATATGAAAAAACATAAGACAAGACACGATCCCAAGCAATGATACAAGTTCCCTCTATCACTCCTCTGATCACCTACTTAGCAAACATCTTCATGTTTTAATTCAGGGTTACTGTGAAGCCCTTCCTGAACCACTCATATTGAGCTCTGAGTGCCTCCTCATACTCTGACAGTACTTTGTACGTAGGTCCATTTAAGCAGTTATTATTTTGTACTATAATGGTTTGTTTGTAGTTTTATCACTGTGACTTTTCATTTGTGCATGGGCATGGGGGATCATCATCTTATTTATAGCCGGTGGCTTGCACAGCACAGAGAATGCAAAGAAAACCGACAATTACATTGCTTACTCATGTTGATGCATGATGTGTGAAACATTCTTAAAGAGAAAAAGACCAAAGGATCTAAAATAGAATGGTCTGATATGTGATAACTGACAGTAATTAATGCCTTTATTGATAAAGTAAGTAGTGACCATAAAAAACACCAAAGGATCTGGAAATGTTTATATTTTCCAAGTACCAATGGAAGATATATGCAAGTAAGAGAAGCTTAGAAAGCCACATTTTAGTTTCCTCACTCAAAAACAAACAAACAAAAACAAAACAAACCAAAAAAACCCCACCACAAAACAGGTACCCTATTAAATTCCCTCTCTAAATTTGCTCATACCACCACCCTATTCTTTCTTCTCTTCAAAGTACTGTATTTTTTTTCTCTATTTCAGCATTTTCTGATATTTAGGAGCTACTCTAGACTCCCAAAAGTACCACCTAAATGACTATACCATGTGTGTTTCTTTTTCATTTTCAAAATTAGTACATAGTAATTACTTTTAAAATTAAGTGTCAAACTGTATCTGAGTTTCGTTAAATTTAGAAAATGAAATATTCAAAATCACAGCTGCACAGTCACTTAAAAACATTTAGTAAACAAAAACAAGCCACATTCTTACAGCACAAAAATTCCTTAAGGATTTTTCCAAGTTTAACAGACACTTCAATGAATCAGCCATAGAAATATTTATACTAACTTTCTCCTGCATATCTCTGGAAGCATAAAAAGGTATTAAAAATAACCTCTGAATTGTAAGAGTTTATAACCTAACCAAGGAGATATCTATACAAAGTTGTCATATAACATCATTGAGCAGCCCATATAGTATGCCTAAGGACCAAAGATAACAGCAATAATTGAGGACAACAGTGGATGAAACCAGTGCCAGAAGGGAGGTTTCAAGAGAGAGGTAAGCTGGACCATGAGGTCATGGAAAGGATGTAGAAAAACAGGCACAAATGTAACCAGTGGATACCAAATAGACTAGTTACAGGAGGGGGGGGGATGATGCTGGCTTTTAAAACGTTTTATATTTCCGTATGTTAAGGAGGTATCAATATATTTTTACTTGGCTAAGAGTTCTATGAAAGTGATGTTGAGTTTCGTGAAATCCCTTTTAGTCATCAAGACATTTTAGAAGAGGAGACTTGCTACAACTACTTTAAATGAGAATTAATCATAGCTAGACTAGAATTTTTTTTTTTAAGGCAAACCAGGATTGGGGCTAAATGACAAAGCTATGACAGAAATGTAATGCTAAGTAACAGTGCTATAGGAAACAGGCAAGTATTTCTGGCAGCTGCTCCTGCTAGCATGAGAAGTACTCTTACAGTAGAGATTATTAATAGCTATATACTTTGGGAGAGGTTGTCACTTATACTGTAAAGATACCATGCTAAAATTCAGAAATGTAAAAGTATAATCTAATGTGACAAAAAATGAGACAACCATAAGACTCTCCATATAAAAAATATGTTGAATCAATAATAAATTATCAAATCATACATGTGGGTCATCTATTTAGATAAAAACACAGATCACAGTTTTAAAACGATGAAAAGAATAGAAGAAAATTACAGTTGAAAATAATATAGGTGACAAGTCTATGGCAAATATTATCTCCTATAAGAATAAAAAATAAAATCACTATGAGCGACAAATAATTTTTTAATCAATTGATATATTTTCCTTATGAGGCCTTAAGTAAAAACATATATCGTTATTTTCTCAAAATGAAAATTCAGTTCACAGAAAACCTAGAATAATAAACATGGAAGTACAATGATACAGTATCAGCTAAGTAAAGTCCACAAAGCTTTGCCATAAGAATAAATGTGCTTTAAAATATAATGTCTTGTAACATTAGAAACCCCATGCTGTTTTTGAACTGATACAATTTTTTCTGAAAAAATTTAATAATATTTATCAAGAATCTAAAGAAGTTCACACTCCTTGACCCAATAAAACTACTTGTAGAAATCTGTGTACAGTGATGTGGTTAAATTTATGCATAACGATGTTCAAAGCAGGTCACAATCTAAATCAACAATAGTGAGAAATTACGATATATTTATATGGCAGATTATATACTTTTGAATACCTACAGCCATGGGAAAATACTAGCAGTATATTAAAAATGAATTAAAGTGGCAGTTTTGTTTAAAAAATTATATGCTTAAAATCCTTATTGTGGTTATTTCTGACCCGTGAGATTACTAATAATTTAGGACACTGTAAAGACAAGTGCCTTTTCTACATTACATATTTAACATGTCTAATAGTTTTATAAAGAGAAGTAAAAGATATTAAATATTGGAGGGAAATAAAAATTCATTATATAGCCATTGAACTCAGACTTTGGAGGATATTAAATTACTAAATTTGGGAGGGTAATAATTCCCAAATTTGCTTTACCAACAGAGCTTATGATGGTCGGTGTTTTGGGTATGTATAAAATCTTCATATTAATGAAAATTTTATTGTAGAATAAATAATTAGAGATGTTATTTTCTGAAACAAAAGCAATACGACTGTTTAATAAGCCTAGCAGACCTTGCTGAAAAGTTCTAACAAACCCAACAGTCTACTACAGGAGTATAATAGATTAAAATTATACACCCCTTGAACTAACTGAAGTTTATACATACAAAAACAACAAATTAGGTTATGGACTAATTTGTTATGAGAATGAGAAGATTAAAATTTTGAATATAGGCTTGTCTATTATCATGAATAACTGAACAATGAAGAAAAACCTGAACCTAACACAGTATTGCTAAGAGGTCCTATGAGAGGTGCTGTGTTTTTTTTTGGTCATAATTGTCAAAAGTACTAATTGATTAACTGATGAGAATGGTACTGCATTGTCTTTTGAGGATAGTCACCTGTTAGGCACCCTGTTCTCAGTTGCCTGACCCCAGACCCTGAAGTATCATCCCTCAGTTTACAAAAAGACACAGGACAAACATGCATACGGTCTGAATATTTCCAGTTTTTTCATGACTAAAATTGTTACATAATCTGTGAGATAACTCTATAACTAAAAAGGAAAAAAAAAACTTAAAAGGGATTACACAAAAAATTTTAAATTTATAAAGGGACGGTGCTACAAAAATTATTTGTAAGTCAACTGTTTGAAACTTTGTATTGTCTCATAGAAACAATGTCAACAGCAATAGGCCCCCAGACTAACCCTACAAAATACTAATAGTTGAAACGTGTTAAGTTCACAAGAAAAAAAATGTATATGTTACAAAGCATAGTAAAAGAACAGCCAGTACCTGCAGCATTAGAGAGTCCTGAGATTAAATACCAGCGTTCCGAACTACCTGGAAAACTGGGAGAGTTATTCACTTGTCTGAGCCTCAGTTTTCTCATCTACTGAATGGAGATAAAACTTACATTGTTTCATTAACATTTAAACTATTTAAGGATTAAATGGATTAAAATATAAAAAGTAGCTGAGGAGTACCTAGAATACATAGTTGGCTCTTTTAAAATGATAGAAATCATCAATACCATTATTATACATTTAGAAGATAAATAATAAAAAGCAGTATGTTAAAATTCTAGTGATTAGGCCAGGCACGGTGGCTCTGCCTGTAATCCCAGCCCTCTGGGAGACCGAGGCAGGTGGATCAACTGCGGTCAGGAGTTCGAGACCAGCCTGGCCAACATGGTGGAGCCCTGTCTCTACTAAAAATATCAAAAAAAAAAAAAAAAGTTAGCTGGGCATGGTGGTGGGCACCTATAGTCCCAGCTACTCAGGAGGCTGCGGCAGGATAATCGCTTGAACCTGGAAGGAGAAGGTTGCAGTAAGCTAAGATCGCACCAGCCTAGGTGACAGAGGAAGAGTCTGTCTCAAAAAAAAAAAAAAAAAATCAGAGTGATTAGATACGCAAAAATAAAATTCTTCCTCCCACAAACACAAAGGAACTAGAGAAAATGAGTCTTATAAAGGAAAGTAATGGCTTAAAGCTCCAGAACCCCATTCTAAAAACTCACCATAAAATGAAACTTACACAAGCAAAAAGCTATATGCAAAAGAAAATTTACTACAGTACTGTTGTAACAGTAAAAACCTGTTTTTCACTGTTTTTATAAATAACATTTTATTAAAACACAGTCATGCCTATTTGTTTAAGTACTGTCTGTGGCTGCTTTCATGATAGAAAGGCAGAGAGAGCTGAGTGCAACAGAGGCCAACTACACGGTCCACAAAGCCTAAAATATTTACTGGCCCTTTGCAGAAAAAGCATGTGGACTCCTGATTTAAGATGACGATACATAAGATGTGACAGTAACACCTTTTCAAATGACACACAAATATTCTACTTTTATTTCTATTTTTATTTTAAAGAAAAATAATTTTAAGTACAGTATTTGGAATAGAATTTGATATAGAATATAATCACTATGAAATTATTTTCAACTACTGGAAACGTCAGTTGTATATTTCACTATTTCCTGAGTTCCTGGGTCTCAGATGCATAAATCCTTGTCCCTTATCTGTGCTCCATCCTTTCCACCAAAGCTCTACTCCATTCTCTCCTGTGTTGCTGATGCCTATGCTACACAAACTCAAGAATATAGGAGGCACTCTAAATACAATATTTGTCTATAAACCAGCAGTCAAACCAGATATATTTAAGTCCCAAATAAACCAACAATTGCATGTCATTTGGAAATTTCTACTAAAATAGTAACACTGAAGAATAATTTTAAGAGAATATTCTAAATGCTTAAAAGTGCTCCAAACAAAAACAAAATGAGTCAAGAGATGAAATTTATGCATTAAAAGTCCATTTTCTTTCAACATACACTTATTATGCCGGGCATGGTGGTTCATGCCTGTAGTCCCAGCACTTTTGGAGGCTGAGGCGAGCAGATAAAACATTTGAGTCCAGGAGTTCAAGACCAGCCTGGGCAACATGGTGAAACCCCATCTCTACAAAAATACAAAAATTAGCCAGATGCGGTGGCATGCACCTGTAGTCCCAGCTACTTGGGAGGCTGAGGTGGGAGGATCTCTTGCACCCAGGAGATGAAGGCTGCAGTAAGCCAAGATGGCGCCACTACACTCCAGCCTGGGAGACAGAGTGAGACACTGTCCCAAAAAAAGCAAAACAAAAAACCATGCAATTATTAGTTGTAAGCTGCATCTTAATATAATTTCTCTTATTACTAGAAAGAAAAAAATGTTGCTAGGTAAGCTATCTAGTGCCATCAAGATGTATCCTTATTTCATATATGCTTATAATGTGAAAAAATAATGCATCTTAGGATTTAAGAAATATAACATTACCATAATTAGGCATTCCAATTTCAAATAAAAAATAGTTATTTTTCTATAACCTACAAAATAACTGGTTATTTTAAATATCTTTACCTAATTATTTTATAGGTTAAATAATTTTTTCCTGTAAAATTTATCTTCCCTTAAAAGACAACCAAGGCTTTTTTTAGTTAAAAATTGTATTCCCAAATTTTTCTGATACTAAGAAATACCTGCAGAACTTATTTTTAGTAAGTATTCCAGCTGATATTTATGACCAGGAAAATCTGAGAAAACACAAACAAATTATGAGGACTGCAAGACTAAAAACATTTTTTTCTTTCTCTCTTCTAATTTTAGTTTTTTTTCAGAGGCAAGGTCTCACTCTGTCACCCAAGCTGGAGTGCAGTGGTGCCATCACAGCTCACTGCAACCTCTAACTCCTGGGTTCAAGAAATCCTCCTACCTTGGCCCCCAAAGTGTTGGGATTACAGGCGTGACCCACCATGCCTGGCCTAAAAACATTTTCATTTGAAGGTAAATGATTAATAGCTAGGTTGCTATTTATTTACTGTTGTTAGTATTAAATCCAATGCTTATAAATTATCTCAGATGAGCAGCTAGAATAATTTATATAATACATTAACTACCAGTACTAATATTACACTTAATAGTAAGGTAAATTAATTTCCTGAAAATATTTGAAGAGATATAAATTGAAGTTATAGTTATTACTGCTACCTTAAAATTTTTTCCACTATTTTCAAACTTTTTTTATTCTGTCCAAAATATTAACTGTGCAAACATTAACTTGACTCAGTATCTATGATGACTGGAAGGAAAATACCATGCTTTCAAATTTTAATAGATCAAGACTGCATATAGTCTCATAAGCAATAACTATACATTACATTCAGCTCATGACTTAGAAGGAAAAAAGTGGTCTGTAAAATACAGAAGAATGTTTGCTTTGTGTGCTTTGTTGTCAAGGTGTATAGCAATCTGCTTGAAAGAAAGTAAAAATACCCGATGTAAAAGCCATACAATACGTCAGGTACAAAATATTATTAATTATAACATATTAAAAATATCTTTAAAATTTCTAATAAAGAAAAATGGGAAAGTTAATAAATAACACAGAAAATGTAAATCAACTAACCATTTGCAAAAGGAAAGAAAGGATATAATTTCACAATCCCTCTAATATTTCTAGTAGTCAGAGTCAATGAGTTATGCAATAGTAAATTATTGGCCGGCAGGCTAAAATTGAATGTGTTCATTTTGTTTTTTAAATATCTTCTAAAAATTTTAATATGAATTTCATTTTTAATATTTAGTTTTATTCTGCTATTACAACTGCAAGGCTATAATTTAACATAACACAGTAACCTAGAAAAGTCAAATTAAATAGTGACCCCAGAAAGCCCTCAGGAAAGCCTTACAGTTCTCTATTAATTTATCTTACAGAATCTTCTCCTATGTCTTTTAAACTTAATGTCCATGTTAGAAGACAAAGACAGGAAATATATACTGTAACATAATGAGGCAATCTCCCATATGTACTTGTTTATTAAAAATATTCAATAAAAAAATTAACTTGATTATTAACATCTTAACCCTTTAATTTTAAAAAGCCCTACACTTCTTTTTCTCAATTTTTAATTTTATTTGTATTGGTATTTTCTTTTACAGGGGTATAAGATAATAAATTAGTTTATTAGTGACTTTAAAGCTATTAGAGGCCTCTATAAAATACTCAAATCAGAGCAGTGACCTCATTCAGAAGAAGCTACTAAAATGACAAGGTGAAAGCAGACAAAATAAAACAAACACTTTCTTAAAACAGTAAAGTACAAAAGTAACAAGAGGGTGCTGGGGATATTTGTATTCTGTTTTCGATGTTTAAACTGTATTACATTTTAACCTCATGTAAAAGTTTTCCAACATGGCTGCCACTTGTTTGGCGTAGAAGTGGAAACTACTCAAAAAGAACTAAGCTAACTAGAAAATATGTTTTTATGAAGGTTAAGTTCCAGCAAATAGAAGATTCTCTTTATTAAGGAGGAAAAATATTCTTCCAGTGTTATGGATTATTCTATTTAATAGAATATTTCCCCTTTAGCTAAAAGAAAAAGTACAATACAATTATGTGTCAATTAAAAACAAAATAAAACTTTAAGAAACGCACAAAAAGATAGAACCCTAACAGTGTTGATATACACAAATACACTCATTTAATCCCAAGCAGTGGTTTGTTTGTTTGTTTCAGGCTCATAAACCTATGTTAGATCTAAAAATATATCACTCTAATAAATAATTTGAAACTGGCAATTTAAATTAACTCAGGAAATACAAAAAATTGCTCATGTTAACAGGGTTAAAACTTGTTGACCAGGGAGAGGAGTACGTAATCCTGAGAAACATCCAATAGATCATACAAGTTCTACAAAATGTTTGTTAGTTCAGGATTGTCTATATATAAACCATATCGTAACTGCCACACAATAGCATGCTATTTTTATTTTATATAACAGCAAAAAGTAGTGTTCCTATTAAGTTTGAATGTAAGGAATAGCAATTTAAAAAAATAATACAGCTTAAGAGGCCAAAGAAGCCTAAGGATTTGGAACACTTTTTAACGAATGAAATGCTGTATTTCCCATGTATAAGGAGAATACCATCAACTTTTTGCCTTTCATGCAAAAACTACAAATTTACAGTGCTAATATTTGTCAACGTATTTCAAAACATACCTTTTTACATTTACTAATTTTAGATAAATCTGCAGGATTCTAATTTCATGAAAAATAAATGAGAGAAAAAGGTGAACTGGGTAACCCTATCTTCTAGGCTCTATATCATATTATAAAACTATCACTTATATAAGTGTTTACTGGCTACACAATGCATTGATAGTTTTAATTTTAAATAAAAACTGAAATTTGAGGCATCTTTTCACTAAAAGAGGCCAAGGTACTTCACTTAAATAAACATTCATATTTTTCAAATGTGTGAGACTTACCCGTCTTCGACAAAAAGGGAGGCCTTGGGCAATGATGCTAATGCTAAATATCTTCATCACAGTTTGATGTGGTAGAGGCTCTTTTGCACTTTTAAGATCAACAGGAACCAAGCCATGGTTTAGAGTAGGTTTTCCCGGTTTTGACATTTTAAAACTCCTCTTGGTTGACGAATACTCTCTACATGTAATACAGGCACATTACTAAAAGCTCTAACCACTAAATTTTAAAAATATATATTTAATAATAGTTTTTAAAAGGCTGAGAACCCAAGGCCTGCTGCTTTTGTCTTTCAACCTTCCCCTACCAAATGTCCTGACCTGTCTGAGGCTTGGTGAAGTGCAAACTATCCTAGAATAGCCAGGAATTATAAACTACTGAAGTGAAAGCTCCTGCTCCTGCCAGTCAAACAGCTGGTGAACCTCTCATACAAAGTCAGTAATGTGAACACAACCAAAGCAGGGCTGTGCTGTAAGGTCCCTTTTAATATTTCTCCAACTAACTAATCTAAGAGTGTTTCCTAGAAAGTGAAAGTAAATTTTTACTTACAAAAATAAAATAAAAAAAACAAACATTGTATCTTGAGTATCTATTAAGTCTTCCTTATCCAAATGTCAGCATTAATATTTTAGGAATGTTTTGAATTCTGTTACAAATTTTGTTTTGAATTTTTTGAACTGTGTTTACGTATGGTTTAAAAAAAACACACACACATATGTATGTTTGTTCTACCTTAGATATATTATAATGAGCACTATTTTCAAGTGTGTGCTCTCTTTCCCTTTTCCATACACACCATTCTTTATCTCATACTCACTAGACATTAAATACTGTATACTCTGGTTCTCTAATAGCTATTAATACACACTTCAGATTAATCTTTGTACCAGAGTTTTCAATTGTCAATCTTTAATTCTGAAAAACTTATTGATTATACTTGAAAGCATAACAGTCACCCAACTGATTAAAGACATGTAAAAAGTGTATTTATTTATAAAGTAATCTATGATGGGAAGTAATTATAGTAAAATGGGAGAGTAACTAGCCAGTCCATTGCAAATCCCTAGTGCCTAATTTCTCCTTCACAGTATGGTCAGATAAATCTTCCTAAAACACAGAGAGGGAATGCAGTGTGCCGTTTACTCCTCAAGAACCTTCAATGGTTCTCCACGGCCTAAGATAAAGTCTGGAGATGAAGACTCTCTTCAAAGTGGCCCCAAACTAAACTTTCCAGCATTATCTCAAATATTTCCCTAAATTAACCATTTGTGCAAGTGTTAATTAATCTTTATACTATAATCCATATTCCTAACAGATAGTAGATAATGATTGTGAACTATCCATTCACAGTGCTCAATCAACTATTCTCTCTTTCCATTCTATTTTCTTCTTCCAACAGCCAGTCAGCTCCACTTATCTCTCCTTCCAACTTTTAACTTCCAAGCTTTTATGGAGTTTTATAGCAGGAATTTTGACGGAGACAAGAAAGGATTTGAAAGGAGAAAGTTAGAAATGGGTGATTTCTTTTTGACTTTGGAAAGATTAGCATTGCTAAATATTAAAGTGGGCTGCTGGGAAGGCAATCTATGCACAAGAAATAGTCCCATTCCTATTAGTAGACCTTTCTCTTATACCACAATTTAAAATGTAGTTAAAAATGCAAAATCACTGGCAGCAATGCTACACAAAAACAGATTTCTCCAAAGATATGTAAATGGTCAATAGGCACATGAAAAGATGCTCAACATCACTAATTAGGGAAATGCAAATCAAAGCCACAATGCGCTACCACTTCACATCCATTAGGATGGTTTTAAAACAAAACAAAACAGTAAACAACAAGCATGGGCTAGGATGTGGGGAAATCAGAACCCTTGTGCATCCTTGGCGGCAATGTGAAATGAATGAATGTAGCTGCTGTAGAAAATAGTATGGCAGTTCCTCAACAATTTAAACATAAAATCAGCACATGATCCAGCATTTCCACTTCTGAGTATATACCTTAAATAATTAAAAGCAGAGACTTGAACAGATACCTGTATACACATGCTTATAGCAGCCTTATTAACAATAGCCAAAAGGTAGAAGCAACTCAAGTCTCAATGAATGAATGAATAAACAAAATGTGACATATACAAACAAGGGAACATTATTCAGCTCTGAAAAAGAAGGAAATTCTGACATATGCTACAACATGCATGAACCTTGAAGATACTATACTAAGTAAAATAAGTCAGTCAAAAAAGGATAGTGTATGATCCACTTATATAAGGTACTTGGAATACTTAAATTTGCATAGATAGAAAACAGAATCATGGTTGTCTGAGACAGGGAGAGGGGGAAATGAGAGTTAGTGTTTAGTTGGCACAGAGTTTCAGTAGGAGAAAATGAAAATATTCTGAAGATGGATAGTGGTAATGGTTGTATAACAATGTAAATATATTTAGTGCCACTGAATTGTATACTTAAACATGGTTAAAATATTAAATTTCATGTTATGGATATTTAACCATAAATTTTAAATGTTTTTAAACAAAAAAGTAAATGATTGAAAATGGAATAATCATCACCAAAAAAACCTCGAGAGATCTAAGGTTAGGAGAGAGAAGAGATAATATGAGAGTGTTGGAAACCTATAAACTGGTAGTAGAAAAAAAGTGAGAATGATATCCAAGATACCATGTCTACAGCCCTATGAGACAACTTACTATCCTGCAGAATGAATACTAGGTTCATGCTAGTCTTAGCATCTCCTCAGATGTTCACTTTATTTTCCAACATAAGACTAATTGTTTTGTTTGTGAAACATATGTCATATTTTGTCCTTCTCTCATTAGACAATCCCTTTTGCTAAAGTAGGTCCCATGGAATATCCTTATCTCAGTTACTAACACTACCTGTTAATATTACAACAGTTTTCTGCAGTCTGAGATTATTTTCAAAAAAATTCTGTCTCAGTGATACCTTTGAAATCAATTGGATAATTAACCCCCCTGAATTTCTTTTCCTGAACTACATAGAAGATACAATTTTAACAATGTGATACTCCAATGCAGAAAAATTAGAAGAGGGTAATATATTCTACGAGTTTAACATGTTCATTTGGCATTTAGAAAAATGAATCAAAGACCTAGTTAGCCATCAGTGGTTATTCCACTGGTTAATAAAGATAATGTATTCAATATTATAAATTTTCACTTTTACATTTAAAAGCCCTCAAAGAACTCTAAAGTCACATGTATTTACATGCAGACATTTTAAAGATAAGAAAATCCCTGATCTCAATGAGTCTGATCCTAACGGGGGGAAAAAAGATTTAGAATTGAAAAGAACTTGGATTGGGAAAATTAAAACTAAAATCAACAGTTTCTAGTTTCTAAGAGACCAAAAGTTACTATGAAGTAAAGCTAGGCTTTTCATTTTCATGAAATAATTTACAATGACAACAGAAACAAAACATAAGTGAACACAATTAAGGCTGTTTGTACCTCAAATGTGGAGTTTTTTAGTGGATACCAAGTTTTGGTAAGCACAAGGGGGTAACATTCTAATTCAATTATTATTTTTTTAAATCAGTAAATAGCTGCCCTCAACTGGATAATACAGGGCATTGCAACTGTGGCAAACCAAACGCTGTAACAGAATCCTGTGTTTGTCATAATATATTTTTGGAAAAAGAAGACATTATCAATGATTGGGCAAAGTGAGTACTAATTTCCAAATATATATACTACAAGTTTCATTTTTTTGGGAGGATTCAAGTAACAGTATTTCTAATGCGATATTCCCAATCAACACGAAACACTAAAAAAACAAACCTTCAAATATAGACAAAAACCCTAATAAATGAGGGAAATCATAGACAAGGTATATAAGAACCCCAACTGTTAATACTTCAAAATGTAGCTAATTCCATGTGTTCAAGAAAAGATAAAGTCTGAGTCTCAATTCTACTCTTAAAAACATTAAAGATACTCTTTAATTACTACCCAAATTGAGACTCTTAAAAACAGACAAGCTCTTTTAAAGATGATACCACAAATAATAAGGCAGTGCAATATGATAGGTAGGAACATGGACTCCAGAACCAAACTAACTTAGTCCAAATCCTGGCTTTACCAGGTATGACCTTAATTTAATTCGTGTCTCAAGTTCACCTAGGCAGTACTCATAGGACTGTTGTGAGGATTAAAAATTAGTTGATATAAGTATACAGAGTAACGCCTCACATCTAGTAAGTGTTCGATAGTGTTAATTAAACTGTCATTATGATTACTACTACTATTAATGGAATCAAAAATCACATAGAGCTTTGTAGATTACATTTCCAATTTTAAAATCACCAGGAAATAAAGCAGATTCTAAAATCCATCTATAATAACTTTGGAAAAGAATATTTTAAAACATATTATTTGTAAGTTTCAGAAAGACTTCTATAATTCTGTCAAAATTTTTGCCAAAATATGAAGCTGTAGTATCTTAGCCATAGTGTCTTGGCATTTTAAGATTCCAGATACCACTGATCATCCAAGATGGGCTAAACATTAGGGAACTTGTAGTAAAGAAAAGGTCTTTATATAAGGTAACTTATTTTGCCCACTTATCACTCCCTGATTTTCTTTCTTCTAAAAATTTGCATCCGTAAAAACAATTATATATAAATGTGACATGTAATAAAATATCACCAATACGGTATCTGTAAAATGCATTACAAGTCCAAGCACTCCAATTCTCTTGTAACAACAATAAAAATACCATCACAGCAATTTACTCTGGATTTCCATCTTTTCTTTCATTCAGTATTATACAAAAGGCTAGAAATTTAACTGCTCCTGACCAAAGCCACAGCATATGAGCAGCACAAAGATTTTCCATTTTTCATAAATTATTCCTGAATCAGCTAAAACAAATCACTCAGAAGATGTAAATCTCCCTGCAAATTCAAATTGACTTTATACCAAGAGTTTTCAAAGTCTTACCTCAAAAACTTTCACAGGAATAATATCAACGTATGTTATTTGAATTCAGTATTATTCACTGCTTCTGTGAATTCAGGCAACAAGTGACTTACTCTGTTGTAGAAACAGAAAGTCCCACATGCTAAAAAGTATACCATTACTGAAGTGCAATAAATCAGAATCAAAATCCTTCTGATCAGATAATATGGTATTATCAAGCATACTCACTTATTTCACAGATACAGAGTAAAGCAGATTATTTTATCTACCAAATCAGTTTTTAGTCTTCCTAACATCATAGATATCAGAGTATTAAAGTATTTCCCTACCAAGCAATTCACAAATGAACGCAATTCATGGTTGAAGACGGAACAATTTAAACACAGAGGAAAACAATCATAAATCAATAAATTAAACCCTCTGCTTAATGATAAATTATCAAGCTTGTATTAGCAAAAACTGTAAAAAAAAAAAAAAAAACATCCAGCAAGCAACATATTACTTTAAATGCAGAAACATAAATACAATTAGATTGGGCATCAAAGAAAAAAAACATGGCATACCTTTTTTTTTTTTTTTTTTGAGACTGAGTCTTGCTCTGTTGCCTAGGCTGGAGTGCAGTGGTGTAATGTCGGCTCACTGCAACCTCCGCCTCCCAGGTTCAAGCAATTCTCCTGCCTCAGTCTCCTGAGCAGCTGGGATTACAGGTGCCCACCACCACGCCCAGCTAATTTTTGTTATTTTTAGTAGAGACAGGGTTTTACTATGTTGGCCAGGCTGGTCTCGAACTCCTGACCTTGTGATCCGCCCACCTCGGCCTCCCAAAGTGCTGGGATTACAGGCGTGAGCCACAGCGCCTGGTCAGGATATCTTTTAAAGTTTTAGTATTTTTTTTTTAAGCTTTAGTATTCACAAAAGGTATGTCAAATAAATTAAAATGTTTTTATAAGATTAAAATCACATTTAAAATGATTACTAAAAATGTTCTAAAAGATATTTATTTACATGCTCAAAGTGCTCACTCAGATTACAACTTCCAATTATAATGTATTTGAGACATTACATGTATGTAAACATTCAATGGACAACATACTGCACTTCCCTGCTAATTTTCTTCATTTGGGCAACAAGGGCGGCCCCTAACTAAGAGAAATATGCTTGGGTTCTGAAGCAGCACATACAACATACACAAGTGTTATAAAAATGTGACCTGATAATTGG
This sequence comes from Homo sapiens, assembly GCF_000001405.40. Lineage (NCBI taxonomy): Eukaryota > Metazoa > Chordata > Mammalia > Primates > Hominidae > Homo > Homo sapiens. The sequence continues at coordinate 152,388,366 of NC_000004.12, forward strand.
ACATTTGCAAAATAAAAGCATTGCATGTACATGCCTATATGCACAGATAGGTAGCATTCTCAAAATAAAAATGCCAGAATACTAGATTATATAAGGTATTGTAACTGCTCTGATTTATGGAATCAACATCTCAATGTTAGACATTTAAGCTGTTTTATATTCCAGTTATTTCCAAAAATTTTGCTGAAAATACATTATAAATTAAAAAGTAAAACACAGAAAACCAACCAAAACAAGTGCTAATAAATTATAAGTTGACAGATGACAAAACCATCCCATGGTACACCAGAAACTCCAAGATTCAGGAACCTTAACTATTTAATGTCTTGCAGTACAATTACCTGGAGTTTATACTTCAGATTTCTACAAAGAGGAGGCTAAATATTTAATAGATATAGACTATCTGACTTCTCTTCAGATGATTGAGATTAAGTCCCTTGCAGGTTTAAGAGTACATTACATCTCTAAATCAACAGAATGAAAAGACAACCTACAGAATGGGAGAAAATATTTGCAAACTATGCTTCTAACAGGGGGCTGATATGCAGAATTGACAGGCAACTCAACAACAAAAACCAAATTAACTTCATTAAAAAGTGGGAAAAGAACATGAATAAATACTTCTCAAAAGAAGACATACATATTTTTTCATGCCTACAAGCATGAAAAAATGTTCAACATCATTATCAAAGAAATGCAAAGTAAAACCACAATGAGATCTCATCTCACACCATTCAGAATGGCTATTATTAAAAAGACAAAAAATAATAGATGTTGGCGAGGATGTGGAGAAAAAGAAATGCTTATACGGTGTTGGTGGGAATGCAAATTAGTACAATCTCTATGGAAAACATTATGGAGATTTCTCAGAGAACTAATAATAGAACTATCATTTGATCCAGCAATCCCACTACTGGGCATCTACCCAAAAGAAAAGAAATCATTATTTTAAAGATGCCCAAGAATTTAGTTGGTGATTATAATAGTTATAACTTTAAGTCAACTATGATAACTAACCCACATATATATATGTTTACACACACACACAAATGGAATACTATTCAGCTATAAAAAAGAATGAAATGTCTTTTGCAGCAACATGGATGGAATTGGAGGTGATTCTTCAGTGAAACAACACAGAAACAGAAAGTCAAATACCACGTTTCACTTACAAGTGAAAGCTAAGTAAAGTGTACACATGAACATGGAGTGTGTAGTAATAGATATTAAGAGACTCAGAAGGGTGACATGCAGGGAGGATGCTGAGAGATGAGAAATCACTTAACGGGTACAATGTATACTATTTGGGTGACAGGTACACTAAAGGCCCAAATTTCACCACTATGTAATATATCCATGTAAAAAAAACTAGAGTACCCCTTAAATTTATACCAAAAAAAAGCATATTACAGCTCTAATAATATTACATATATGGCCTTCTTGTAAGAAGGTTCAATTTGGTGAGCTTTCCTTTATTATAGTTTAGTGAACAATATAGCTAGTTTATAAAATATATCCAAATAAAATGCATTGTTTCAATTCTTTTGTGTCTGCCTTCTTTTACAAAAGGCATGTATGCCTGTGCTCTAAATGTTTTTGTATAGTAATAAGAAAACATTTTTATTGGAAAGAAGCTACAGGCATAATGATTTTTAAAAAAATTTTTAAAAGATGAAATTCAAGAAAAATAACCTCAGGATTTTTCTGATTCCATATTATACTATAATAATATGTGTGTGTGTTTATATATTTTTTTCCTCTCCTACCTACTGTAGTGGTCTAAACACTAGCATATAGAGTATATTTGACTTTTTTTTTTTAATGAGTAAACTTTGGATTTTATTTCTATTATTTGTGCCTAAGAACTTTAGTTGTTAAAATACTTTTCCTCATCCTTTCATTAAGCATTTTAAAAAGTACTTAAGATAAAACAAAAATCCAACTATCCCACTGAATTTTCTAAGTATTTCAGAAATGCCCAGTATGAAGTCTTCAATGACTTAACATAACCTGTCTCATGATTAAGCTTAACTCTTACAGGCTGAGCTGGGTTACCCCAGCTGTTAAAATGGCCTTACACAGCTGCTCACCAAGAATTTAGTTCGTGATTATTATAGTTACACCTTTAAGTCAACTATGACAAAAATGACACAGTAATTACAGGTATTTCAGTCATGCAAAAAGCCTCATGTAATGACAGAGTAAGTGATTTAAAGTAACCTAATTTTCCATAATTCTCAAAATAAAATTTAAGTCTAAGAAAGACAATAACTTCTTTAATGTCAGTACTTAAGTCCATAAACAGTTTAAACATAACAGTTTAAACTTTCAGTTAAAATAAATTAAACATTACTTACCAATAATATCTTTCTCTTATAAAAATTCTTAAGAGTATTGCAGGCCAGGGAGTCATAATACTAATTATACTAATAATTAGGACTAAGGAAATAATACTAATATTCTTTTAAAATACAGTAAGTAATTGTGTGTTTTTTTGCTACACAGCTTTAAAAAATTAAGCTATAATGCAGAAGGCTCAACCAAATTGACAGTTTGACAAATTATAAAAATTTATCTTATGAAAAATAAAAAGCTACACTTATGGAAACATAAAAAATCTGAAGGAGTGCTGGTGCTTTAAATAGGTAAAATAGGAGGGGGACATTATTTCCTATACTGTTGAGTTTCTGATGCAATTATAAATAAAAATCAATATATTTTGAGAAAGATAAACATAGTACCATACTTCATTTATATAATTTTCAGTAATGTGCTATGCAAGTATGTGAGATTTATTAATATTAACTGAAAGTACTTCAGCACAGAATTTAAGTATAGAATTAAAGTACAGAAAACAAGTATAAGATTAAGCAATAGAAAATACATATTTAGAACTTAATTCTTGGACGGGCTGACAGTTGATACCACTGGCCTTTTACGCTGTCAATATTACATACTCAAAAAAATAATTTTTCTGAAAAATATCAATGTTATTTTTTGTAGCTGAGGTTTAAATTAAGCTGAGAGCCTAAGTTTTCATTCTTTACAGTAAGTAAAACACTAACTGGCTATCAAGAAAAATTAGAAACAAAGAAATAAAATTCAATTCCTACTATTCTTTAGTATGCCTGTAATACAAAGATCTTGGGATAGAAAGATAAATAAGTCTAAGGAGACTATCAGAGATCAGTAAGAGATATAAAGGAAGTCTGCAGCTATAGGGCTTAGAAAATACGTACGCATTGTTTCAGACTGGAACAATGATAAGGGGAAGAGATTAAACACTGACAAGAGTTTCTACTAGATCATGCTTTGTATCACTTAATCACCACGCCGAAACCCTGAGGTATCATTATCCTTGTCTACTTGTTACAGACAAAACTAAGGCTCAGAAAGGCTTACAAATTTGCCCAAGGTAACACAGCTGCCAGGTAGTAGAGTTGAGATTTTAACCCTGGTATGTCTAATTCCTAAACCTGTGCTTTGTAACAGAACATCTATCCAATTCCACAGAATGTTACATCCTAACTTAGTTGTGTTACTTCCTAAATTAGTTGTTCGGAGACACTTCTTTGTCAGTGTTTCAGATATGTAAGTTTGTCAGATATAAATGAGTTCTAGATAACTGAAATAAAGTATTGTATAAGACATTTACATATTAAATATGGAATGTTTTAATGTGCCTGATTTTTATGAAGCCCAAATTTAAAAAAAGAAACAGGAATAACATCAAAGATATTATGAACTCTTATAGCAAATTGTATTCTCAAAGGTAGTCACAACGCTGTCCCCCATCTTGCATGCTCTTCTTGCAAGGTGACTCTGAGACTCCTTTCACTAAGAGGGAGAGGCCATGTCCTCTTGCCTTAATAACAGGCCAGACCTTTGTGACTGTTTGGACCATTAGAGATAGTAAAAATGGTATCATGTGACTTCACAGGCTGAGTCATAAAAAGGAGATTCAGCTTCCACCTTGCTTGCTGGAACACTCACTTGGTAGTCCTGATGTGCTGGCTAAGTAGTACCTTCAGGCCACCATGCTCTGAAGAAGCCCAAACTAGCCCAGGTAAAAAGACCGTATTATATAGAGATGTTAGGAGATGATACGGAAAAAGAATTTCTGGGTCAGCCCTCAGCTGTTCTAGACCCCCACTTTTGCACCTCCAGCCATGATCTGACTGCCACCCAGAGTTAACAATGGCCAGATCAGCCCTCCTCAAATTACAAACCTATAAGAACAATGAGAAATAATAAAATTCTCGTTTGTTATAATCCACAAAGCTTTGACGGTGATTGGTCAGGTGACAATGGATAACCGAGACATCTTATAAAACAAGGAGCTCTAAGTTGGTTTATAGTCATCCTAGTGGAGTGTTAATTTTACAATGTAACAGGAATGGAAAGGACAACAGGTGATTCAAAATGAAAACGTTAAGTGATCATCTTGAGGATGGCAAAATTTTGGGTGACAATTTCCCACCTTGACACTCAATGGAAATGAGGCCTTAGCAAGTTTCTATTTTCATAATAAAACTTTTTAAAGAGTTACTTTGGCTTGAATTTACATCTAAAGTCATTTGATGTTATGACCAAGAAAGGAAAAATCAAACTCACTTTTGGATTTCCTAAAATCATGCTTTTGTCTATATTCCAAGCAAATTCAGATGACAAATAAGGCAAGTATAATAAAGGAGAAAAACAAATTAGGTTTAAGATCTGAAAAGCCCTTTTAGAAGGTGCAGTTGATGTTGCCATGTAAGTACATGTGCCCAGCAAAGCCATTTGTTCCATATTTTCAAAAGAAGGTGAAAAAAATCAATATTTTTATGTGAACTCTCAAGATTTTCCAATGTTGGCAACAAATTTAAATGTGTTTTAAAAATACATTCAATGGTAAGCTGTCATGATGAAAAGAAAAAGATTTAAATACCTACAAGGCACCATTTTGTAATCTCTATTCTGTTCCCTTCTGAGTAAAGAAGCACAAAAATATAATTAAAATAAAATGTAAGATTAGTGATAATCTAACTGATAGAGAATAATGATTCTGTCTTAAAGTTTTAATTTTCTTTTCTATACCAAGTAACAGAGTAAAATGATAATGATGAATAAACCCCAAAACTGAAACACGTGATAAACACTACAGAGGTACCTCAGTATATTTAAGTTTTTCACTCATTAAACCCTAAGACAGATGGCAGCATATCGGTAAAGTACAAACAATTCATTCTAGAAAATTAAACTTATAATGTAGTCTTATATTAATAGAACCAACATCTGTAGCTAAGCAAATGAATAACTGTTGGCACTTACTCCTCAAATTCACCAGTACCTTCTTCATACTTCCATTCCTCATTTGCATCTGATTTCAATAACCAAAAACTGCCATGGAAACCAACCAAGTAATGCATCTCCTAAAAGCAACTGCTATTTCTAAAGCAGAGAAACTACCTTTTGCATCAGCAAAAACCAACTGACAGAAGGACAAGGTACGTTTGAATAAAACAGACCCTTTTCTGGGGAGGGGGAAAGATACAAAAAAATTTTAAACATCATTTTTAAACCTGATCTATGAAAACAATCATCATTCTTCCTGCATTTCATATAATTAGAGGTTAAAGTTTATATGCAAGATGCTACCCTGACAATACTTATTACAAGGAATGAAGTTAATATCCTATGTCAGATACAGCTAGAAGTTACCCTAATAATTTACGAAGTGTTCTCTAAAATGTATCCTAAAGATAATTTTAACCTACCCAAAACTATTGTTCCATTCATAGTGATTGCTTCATTTGTTTATAATCATCTCTTCACTGTGAAAAACTTAGATATTTTCTGTAGTATCAAGCAGTAATTCTAGAATTTCTACAGAAGTGCCAAAGAACATCTTCCCTTGCATTTATTCCAGTTTCAGCTATTCAGTTCAAGAACACCCAAGTATCATTAAAGAATAAAACTTGCCTTTTCCTCTCTTCTGAACATTTTCATATGAGTACTCAAAGCTCTAAGATTACCAAAATTGACTTGTAGGTTCTTTTACAAATTCCTTCTAAGTTCAGCATTAACAACCAATTAGGGAAAAAATATCTGTCGGGGATCAAGAGTGCTTCATAGTTAGCAGTAACAAAATGTGCAATATCAAACAGCTGAACTATATGCTAAAAGCCATTAATAATGTAGGCAAAAGTCAATGGAATTGTTTCAACCTACCCAAAAGAGCATCTTTGGAACTAAAAATATTTCGCATAGCATTCCTCCCAGCCTGAACTAGTGAGTTAGTTATAGCATAGACTTGTAACATTACAATAATTAACCTTATAATATACCATAGCAAATGCTCATTAAGGATTTGCTATATGCCAGTCATTGTCCTGAGTACTTTGCATACATTACCTCACTGAATCCTCTCAATAACACTATGTGGTAGATGCTACTACCGTCCCTAAGAAACTCTACAAGGTTAACGGTTTGTGCAAGGTCAAACTGCCATGAAGTGACAGAGCTAGCATTTGAAAATCCCCCCGTAGTTTGACCTTAGAGATCACACTGTACCACTATTCATGAGAATTAATGCATTTGTTATAGCTATACTGTTGAGGACATGATCTACTGAGTCACTCAGGAAGTCCTATGTGGGAAATTCCTTTTATGTAATATTAGGAAAGATGCATGGGTGTGCATAAGTGTGTGTGTGTGACATATTTTCTCTTCCCCTGAGGACTCAGTACATCGTCAATTTTATCACAGGGCAGCAGAGACAACAAACTACACACCAGTGTTTTGCAAACTTCAGTTTACATGAAAATCAGTTGAGAACTTATTAAAAATGCACATCCCGACCCTGGAGTTTAGTTAAGTAGCTCTTGAGAGTAACCCAGAAATCTGTTATTTTTAAAAAGCACTCCAGATGCTTCTGATGCAGCTGGTCCAAGGTAACACTTTGAAAAATACTGGTGCAGACACTTAAGAGTGGACAACCTATATCCTATTACTAGCTTTCTCCAACTCATCATAACTCAATCCTTACCTCTTCTCATGACCTTGCCCTCATATTCTACTCCAGTATTGTCCCTGGTTCTGATTTTCATGTACACTTTGTCACTTTATTATATGTATTTTTCCTACATATAGACCACTTCAAATCTCAAATTCCTTGTGGAAGTTGGATACTCATTTCTTTAAAATGAGGTCAATTCATTTGGCAGTTTAATAACTAAAATCAGTACACCAAACTCATAAGGAAAAGTCCGTAGGTCACTGGCTAAAGCACTTAAAGTGCTATGCATATGCCGCACTTCCACTCCAAACAACCCAATTCCCATTAATGGATCAGCACTGGAGGCAAACTATCGTAATTTTGCAATGGGTGATAAACATTTCTACAGAAGTGCCAAAGAACATCTTCCCTTGCATTTATTTCAGTTTCAGTTATTCAGTTCAAGAATAATAGTCCATTCTTCTTCCCTACATGATGTCTAGTGAAAAATAGGTGGTCTATGGGTCAAACCAACCCACGGAAGTGCTTTTGCAAAATCTGGACACCAATATATTTTAAAGATTAAGAAATATCATCTGAAAATCTGAAATTCCAATGAATTTTGAAAAATTCAAAAACATGGCAATATCAAGACCCTCTTTTTAGAGAAGTTTTAGCTCCCTGGCTCTTATATTTAGTCCATTTCATTCATATCAATTAACTTTCTGGACCCTATGGTCCAGAGGGTTTTCTGCTTGAAAATCATTCCAGGTTAGTAAATAAATCATTGATGGAAATTAGTTACAATACAGGTGTATGATATTCTAGAAACATCTCTAGTATTCATATTCATACTAACCTGCTTTTTCCAAACCTCTGACTTCTGGGTGGATAAAAGTGATCTCTTACCCTTTATAAAATAATACATATCCTCAATTCTGCACTTGCCCCCTCCCATTAACCCTTTTAAAATGTAATGCAACTAACAATGAATATATGCATTTAGCATAGTAATCTACTCCCAACATCGTCCTTCCCCAACCCCTCCCTACAAGAGCTACTATTAAATTGTGGCATATCTTAGAAAAATAATGGCAATTCTTTGAGTGCTCAGCAATACTGTTAAATGAATCAAGTTTTAACTAGCAAGCCAGTGTTTTCTCCAGACACGTGTTAAAGACACAATAATGGATGTCTTCAATCCATCAATAGCATCTATTATCTCTGCCACTCAAAGAAGGAGTCCATGTGTTTTTCAACATATCCAAATACTGATCTTTTTATTTGATTTACCTTCTTGACCATTTAAGAGTTCAACATGCACCAGCTATATTATGCTAACAATAACTCATTTCATTACCTGTGCAAAAGGATCAGAATTCAAGCTCAGCCTTCAATTACCTAAGCTCATGTCAATCTGCCAATAAATGTGGTTTTCAGAAAATGGCAGTGATACAGAAAACTAGCAAACACACCACTAAGGCATAAAAAATATTATCAGTTAGAGAATACTGTTTATCATAGCAGTGACTTTAAAATAATTGTAAGTTCATCAATATTCAAGAGGACTAACATCTCGGTAAAATTTAGAACTAAAGATCAAAGTTTTGTCACTCCATTATAGTAACTAATTTGAAGAAATAATTTAAGGTATTAAAATTGGCAAATCAAAGGAGGAGAGACTTAAAAGATGAGATTCTTTTAAGTCTTTAAGAGTGAATTATTGTTCCTTCTTTCTCTTTCACATGACCCTCTTTTATTTTCTCCTCTAGGTGTAAACAGTGTGTTTCCTCTAAGTTCATCATACTAATCTTCCTTCACCAAAAGACAGTGTAAACAGTAGTTAACGAGAAATGTCCTTATTTCTGCCCCCTGAAACATAACACAGAAATTAATAATGAAAAGTGCTGTCTAAAGTATATCTAAGGAAGAAATTAAAATTTAGCCAAGGCCCTACTTAGATCTTGAACTTCTTCTCTAGAAGCTATTAAAGATCCAACAGTATACAGCCCATAGGTCATATGTAGCTCAAAGTCAGTTTTTTGGAGCCAGCACAATGTTTTTCTTTTTCTTTTCTTGATATTTCTAAAGACAGAGTCTCACTCTGTCACCGAGGCTAGAGTACTGTAGTACTATCACTGCAGCCTCAAACTCCTGGGCTCAAACCATCCTCTTGCCTCATATTTTTATTCTTTTAACTGAACATTAACACCTTTTGGGGAAGGCATATCTTACGTAGTTCATAAGAGCCTGAACAGTCTTACTGGCTGTTCATGACTCTCTTCACACATTGACATTACCTATTTAAGTTCCTGTAAGTTGTATTTCTCATTTCTTTACCCTAAGAAGCCAAAAAAAAAAAAAAAAAAAAAAAAAAAATTGAGGAAGATTAAATCAGTTGTTTAAATATTCTTTACTCCACGATGATTAGGTGGTTATACCCCACAATATTACTGTCTGTGCTAATACAAGATGACATTTAGACAAGGGAAGTAGCTTCTTTGGAGAGATAATTCTTTTCTCACATACATGCCAAGAAGTACCAGAGCAAATAACAATGAGAGGCCTATTCTTTTTACACGTATATGTTCAGATACTTGAGAAATTTTCTAAAAGCATACTTATACTTCCAAAGCATAGTAAGTCTGCACATACATTTATCCCAAGATACACTCTTTATCTCTTTTTGTTGTTACTAAGTAGCAAAATGCTAGCTGCTTGTTAAAAAAAAAGCAAAAACAAAAACCCTAGGTATCCCACATATTATCTGACAGTGCACATAATTACTGTTGAGTGTATACTCCAAATTCTGAGCAAGACATACTATACTAAAACACAAAGTAGGAGAGAAAGACAAGCACATATTAAATATATTTAAATATATGGAAAGCCGCTCTATCTATAAGGTGCTATATGGCCCTCTAGTGTTCAGTGAAGAAACAGATAAATTCTTAAGGAATTGTGTGCTTTTGATATGATGTTTCACAGTAAAAAAAAAAATAATACTTTATAAAATTTTCTATGTATGCTAAACATACTAATATATGATTTTTACAAAAACCTAAATATTTTATATCTTTTGTGATTTTACATCTTTGTGCTTTCTTTTGAATTACTATCCATATTAGAATATCCAGTGAAAGAATTCTGAAATGTTCTTAAAATTTTTCCCACAAATAATTGTAATGCTAAATGAAAAAAAATAGCATTTTAAGAACTAGACAATACTGAATCTAAGGCAAATTTCAAAGAAAAAACAAAAGAATGGGGTCGTGTCTACGAACTAAGTATTTAAACATACCTAATCACAATTCCCTAACCATATTTTCTTTTCTCTGTATTCTACTTCTGATCCATCCAACTTGATTCTTTTTATCATATTAATTTATAGAAAATAGAGATTAATTAAATACACAAAATTATGTCTCTCAGAAGAGAGGCCAAAGATAGAATTGAGATTTCAGGACAAGAGTCAAAGTAAAAGTAGACCCACAAGCAGAAAAGAATCTCACTAATAAGATTGATAAAATTGTAACCACTGGCCAAATGTTTGAAAAATTGATAATACTGTTTAAAGTTGGTGAAATAATAATTTCAAAAGGAACTTACATTTGTTATTATGTTTAAAATATATATATCTTACATTTACTGTTTATATATTGGGGTTTTGTCAGGACAGAGGTGGGAACTGAAATATAAGCAAGATACAAAATTTATCCCCAGCTTTTTCACTCACTTACTAGCGTTAAGCAATTAACATTTTCAAGCTAAACCTTTAGAAGCTACAGGAGGACTCTGTGAAGATTCTATACTTGGCACCAACATCAATCCTTCAAATGTCAAGGAAAGGTAAATTGCCTATGGCATGGAAATTCTGCAAACAACCTTCAAAGTACCACAGAGTCATCTACTAAACCATTAAGAAATAGGATAGAAGGACTCTTAGCAAACTAGGAATAGAGGGGAGGAACTTTCTCAACTTGATAAAGACTACCTATAAAAAGCCTACAGCTAACATCACACTTAAGGATGGAAACTCAAAGCTGTCCTACTAAGATCAGACACAAGGCAAGAATGTCCTCTTTAACCACTGCTTTTCAACATCATAGGGGAAGTCCTAGTTAAAGCACAAAGACAAGAAAAGGAAGTAAAAGATAAAGAGATTAAGAAAGAGGAAATAACACTGTCTTTTTTGGCACATGACATGACCCTCTACATAGAAAATCCTAAAAAATTGACCAAAAAAAAGCAATTATAGCAAGGTTGCAAGATATAAGATTAATATATAATAAGTCAATTATTTTCCTACACACCAGCAATGAAAAAGTGAAATCTGAAATGACAAATACAGTATCATTTACATTAGCAGCCCCCTGAAATAAAATATTTAGGGATGAATCTAATAAAATATGTATAAGATCTACATAATGAAAACTATAAAACTCTGATAAAAAATCAAAGAAGAACTAAATAAATGGAGATATATTCCATGTTCTTGCACAGGAAGACTCAATACTGTCAAGATGTCAGTCCTTGCCAATCTCATCTATAGTTTCAAAGCAATACCAATCAAAATCCCAGCAAGTAACAGATATCAACGAACTGATTCTAAAACTTATATGGAGAGGCAAAAGACCCAGAATAGCCAAAACGATACTGAAGGAGAGGAATGAAGCTGGGAGATAGACACTCTCCAACTTCAAGGCTTACTATAAAGCTACAGTAACCAAGACAGTGTGGTATTGGTGAAAGAATTAAAAGTAGATGAATGGAACAGAATAGAGAGACCAGAATATGGTACAGTGATCTTTGACAATGGAACAAAGGCAGTACAATGTAGAAAAGCTAGTCTTTTCCGCAAATGGTGCTGAACCACCGAACATCCACATGCAAATAAATGAATCTAAACAAAGGCCTTACAACCTTCACAAAATTAACTCAAAATGGATCATAGACATAAATGTAAAGTGCAGAACTATAAAACTCTTAGAAGATAACATAAGAGAAAACCTAAATGGCCTTGGGTATAGACATGACTTTTTGCTGGGGTAGAGTGGTATGATCTTGGCTCACCACATCCTTGATGTCCCAGGCTCAAGCAATCCTCCAACCTCAGCCTCTCGGGTTGCTAAGATCACAGGAACGCACCACCATGCCTGGCTAATTTTGTGCATTTTTTTTTTTTAAGGAGGAGGTCTCAGTATGTTGCCCAGGCTGGTCTCAAACTCCTGGGCTCAAGCGATCCTCCCACCTCAGCCTGCCAAAGTGCTGGGATTATAGGTGTGAGCCATGGCACCCAGCCGGAAATGACATTTTAGATACAACAATACAATACTAACAGCATGATACATGAAAGAAATAATTCATAAGCTGGACTCTACTAAAATAGGAATGTCAGCTCTCTGAAAGACACTGTCAGGAAAATAAGAACATAAGCCACAGACTGGAAGAAAGTATTTGCAAAATGCACATGGGATAAACGATTGTTATCCAAAATATACAACAGTAACAGAACAACCTGACTAAAACATGGACAAAAGATCTGGACAGACACCTCACCAAAGGAGATTTACAGATGGGAAGTAAGCACAGGAAAAGATGGTCAACATCATATATCACTAGGGAACTTCAAATGGTAACAAAGAGATACCATACACACCTATCAGAATGGTCAAAATCCAGAACACTGACAACACTATATGCCACTGAAGATGTGGAGCCACAGGAACTCTCATTCACTGTTGGTGGGAATGCAAAAGTATATAGACACTTTGGAAGCCATTTGGCAGTTTCTTACAAAATTAATCATACTGTTAACTTGCAATCCTGGAATCACACTCCTTGGCATTTACGCAAAGGAGTTAAAAACTTAGTCCATGCAAAATCCTGCACACAGATTTTCACAAGCAGCTATATTCATAATTGCCAATTATGTGGAAGCAACCAAGATGTCTTTCACTAGGGAAGTGGATAAACTGTGGTATATCCAAACAATGGAATATTATTCAGTGCTAGAAGGAAATGAGCTATCAAGCTATAAATATACATGAAGGAAAAGTCAATGCATATTACGTAAGTGAAAGAAGCCAATCTGAAAGGCTACATACTGTATAATTCCAACTATATGACATTCTGGAAAAAGCAAAACTATGGAGACGGTGAAAGGATCAGTGGCGATGAGAGGCTGGGGAAGAAAGGGATGAATAGGCAGAACACAGGACTTTTAAGGTAGTGAAACCATTCTCTATGGTACTACATTGGTAGATGCGTGTCAATACACATTTGCCCACACCCACAGAGTGCACAACACCAAGAGTGAGACCTTGGTGGAAACTATGGATTCTGGATAATGATATGACAAAGGTAGATTCACTGACTATAACAAATGTACTACTCTGGTAAGGGTGAAGCTGTACATGTGTGCACCAGGGGGCATATGGGAACTCTCTAGGCCTCTCATTCAACTTTGCTGTGAATCTAAAACTAATCTAAAAATTAAAGCTTGTTAATTTAAAAAGACAGAATGGCTAATGCAGGAAGTCTCCAAAAAACATTTCGCAGACCTCAAGGATCAATAATTCAAAGACAAGGTTTCCTTGTAAAGGACAAGTGTATTTCTTCTTACCAGATTGGAGGGATAGAAGAAAAAAGATACATATGAAATACTAGGTGAAGGAATGTAGAAATAATTCATGTTAATGGGTCATGTTTCAGTGAAGCAGAGGGGAGTGGGGGAAATTCCCTTTGAGGGGCTGAACAAGTCAACTGTTCAAACAGGTTACCAAATAATAATAAGACTATTATTATCATAATAACTGAAAGAATCAGGAATATAAAAGAAGTATACACACTGACTCCAGCTACACAAAATACATATCCATGTGGTCAATGACTGACAAGTATTATGTAAAAATTTATACACTAATTCTTTGTTGACTAATAATTAGGTTATCAGGGTACCTGATAACACAATAAATATTATTAGGCAATAAAATAAGAAATCAAAGGGCTTAAGAGAGAGGGAGAAAAACAAACTTAATACGATGAGTCACAATAAATATACCACAGTAACAGAGATTTAGTTGAGGCAACATTTGGGGACATGAAAATAAATGTTAGGGCGGTAGCTTTATAGGTTATTTCATCACAGCCCACTCATCCCAAAATTACTAATATTGTTTAACTGAATTTCCAAACGTTAACAAAAGTACAACCGGGACCCAGCATAAGATCTGAGTTCCAATCCCAACTCCACTATTTACCAGCTGACTGATACAAGATTAATTACTTAACCTCTCTTCACATATTTCTCATCTCCATTATGGGGTTAAAGATTAGAAATGACATATTAGGACTGTTAAGATAAATGAGAAAAAATATAAGTATATATACACATTCTGGGAACACATTGAAGGCATTCAGTCTGGAGAAGATCACAGATGAATATGGCAGCAATCTTCTCCTATGAAAAGAGCTGTCACTGCTCTAGGTAGAAGAACAAGGACCAAAGCAAAGTCAGAGATGTCAACACAAAATAAAGAACCCTAACATAAATAACGTCTAAAACTATGAAGATACTTCACATTGCAGTATTCCTTTGTAATGACCTCATTTGTAAGTTCAAGTCTGTTGGTAAAGCCACTGGGCACAGGTTTGGCCTTGGTGATCTCAAAGGTCCACTCCAATTTGGGGTCTGTCTTAGGAGACTTAAAATCAGGACTAAAAACCCTTAACATGTTAAATATATCATTAGTTTGATGAAATGGGGAGTTGGGAATACGGGAAGGGAGGGAAGGGAAAGCACTGATGATTTCCTCATAAAGCAGTGGCCACTTTAGAATTATGTTTTAAGGCTGGGCACGATGGCTCATGCCTGTAATCCCAGCACTTTGAGAGGCCAAGGCAGGTGGATCACTTGAGGTCAGGAGTTCGAGGCCAGCCTGGCCAACATGGTGAAACCCTGTCTCTACTAAAAATACAAAAATTAGCTGGACGTGGTGGCAAACACCTGTAATCCCAGCTACTCAGGAGGCTGAGGCAGGATAATCGCTTGAACCTGGGAGGTGGAGGCTGCAGTGAGCTGAGATTGCACCACTGCACTCCAGCCTGGGCAACAGAGCCAGACTTCATCTCAAAAAAAAAAAAAAAAGAATTGTGTTTTAAAACGGTAGTCACCAACCTTTTTGGCACCAGAGACAGGTTTCATGAAAGACAATTTTTCCATGGACAGGGGAAGTGGGGGGATGGTTTGGGATGAAACTGTTCCACCTCAGCTCACCACGCATTAGACTCTCGGAAGGAGCATACAACCTAGATCTCTCGCAAGCACAGTTCACAATAGGGTTCGTGCTCCTATTAGAATCTAATGCCACAGCTGATCTGACAGGAGGCGGAGCACAGGCGGTAATGCTCACTCACCTACCGCCCGCCTCCTGCTGTGAGGCCCAGTTCCTAACAGGCCACAGACTGGTCCATGGCCTGGGGGTTGGGGACACCCATTTTCAAAAACAGACTCTGAAATTGCTCGGAGAACGGTTTTTATATGAAAAATATTCATGTTTAGAGAGAGCCAAAAGTGCTATCAAGGCTAAAGAACTCTTCAAAGAAAACAATAAATATCTTCAAAACAAGAACGGATACTACTATGCTATTACTCTTCTAATAACGTGTTAAGTTGATCTTAGAAAATTGCCAGGGTAACACCTGAGCCCTAGAGATGTGAAGAATCAGTTACACTAGGACTTAAAGAGTTCTGTGCTCTTTCCACTATGAAATGGGGGGTTGGGAATAGGGGAAGGTTTCCACTATATTCAGCTGCATTCTCATGCAGAGATCATGATATAATGACATTTCCTGTGAGGAACATCTTTTTATCCAATCCTCCATTAGGAGCATTATACACCATGTAAAGTCATCAAAAAAGACCACATAGAATAATAATTGGTTTCCAGCAGAGAGTTATTTTTCAAATAAAGAGGCATATATGCTTGTTATAACAAAATGGAGAAATTATAAAATGTATTTAAGAAAAAATAACCTTTTATTCAACCACATTCAGAGATAATTCCTAACATTTGGTACAACTTCTTCTGATCTTTTTCTTTGCATATGTATATATGTAGATACATACACACACACATATATAAAAATGTATGTTTGCTTCATAATTAAGATCACACTGTATAGAGTTTTGAATCCTATATTTTAAATAAAATATTTTTAAGCATTTCCTGTTATTAAATATTCTTTCAAATGTGATGTTTAATGGCTGTATGAATTGCCTTCAACTGATTTCTGCATGTTAGCAAAATGATTCCTAAAGTGGGATTTTTAACTTCTCCTCAGGGCAGTCTCAATTTAACGATCTGTACATATACTGAATACCTGAGTCTTAAACTCAATTTTAATGACGTGCCCATTTACAATTTCTAGTCTAGCTTAGGTACATCTTAAGAGGTGAAATGAGGCTGGGGCATGGTGGCTCATACCTGTAATCCCAGCACTTTGGGAGGCCCAGGCAGGAAGATCACCAGAGCTCAGGAGTTTGAGACCAGGGTGGGCAACATAGTAAGACCTTGTCTTTACAGATAATTCAAAAATTAGCCAAGCGTGGTGGTGCCACGAGTGGTCCCAGTTACTCGGGAGGCTGAGGTGGGAGAATTGCTTAAGCCTGGGAGGTGGAGGCTGCAGTGAGCCATGATTATGCCACTGCACTCCATCCAGCCTGGGCAACAAAGCAAGACCTTGTCTTAAAAAAAAAAAAAAAAAAAAAAAGAGGTGAAATGACAACTGTTCACATTACAGTTTGCCAGTCTTCAATTCTCAAACTGAATTAGGACTGAAAACAAATTTACCAAATTTCTACTGCTCAAAAAAGTGAAGAATTATATGTCAACTTAAGACAAAGCTTACCAAAAATGTCACCAGGTAATACCAAATGAACTGCACCATGAAGAGAAGCAAGAACAGGTTGAAAGGAATTCGATTTTCTAAATCTAGGAAGGTATTAAGATAGGGGATTTGGACTTCGATTTGAAGGATATGGCTGGTGGGAAGGAGTATGATTCAAAACAAGTAGAGAGGAGAGGAGATGAAACCAGGTAAAAACTATGGTAAGATATTGGAAGACTTCAAACATTCTCATTTAGGTTTGGCTTTATCAGTGGGAAATGGGGCACCAGATATCTGTATTGAGGTTATTATCTATACAGAGCTAAAAATTCATTTTAAAAAACTCATCCAATTATTCATACTGCCAACTCATTGTCAAGGACGTGGCGTTATAGCCTGATGCAAACAGAAGCCCAAGCAAAAATGCTCTTAACGTTTTTAAACACTGACCCTCCAATTTTTATCTTACAATTGCCTGGCGGGTAAGAAAAAGAGAGACTAAGTGATCAAGTCTGTTAAATTATTCAGCAGGCCCAGACTCAGATGATAAGAAAAAGTCAAGCCACTTTTCTATCCACTGACCAGAAGATGGGACCTATTGAGAGGGAAAAGATAACCTGGGGAGGCAAATAAAAACTTGGTTTGGAGAAAGAAACAGTACTTTTAGTTTTCAGTGGACCACTCAGATGATGATGCCCAACAGACAGCTAGAAATGCAAAACTATGGCTAAGGTGAATGATCGGAGCTTGAGAAATAATTTTGGAGTTAACTACCAAAGTGAAAACAATATTCATCATGATCTATTCCTATGTCCTTTTTCTTCATACTGTCTTCCCTACCACCAACAAAAACAACATTAAAAATGGATCAGATCATTATAATACACATATGAAACAATTTTCTTTGGAAGCATTTTGAAGATAACTATTTGTGATATTTGTGTATACTTCAGTGAAGTTTATCATCTGTATAAAGAACTAATCAATGGAATGCTATAAAACAATTTTAAAATGGTCCATTTGGTGTGAAGATTATTCTTTAGTCTACAATGAAACCTCATAATTAAAATACTTTTTGAGCTGGGCACGGTGGTCCACGCCTGTAGTCCCAGCTACACAGGAGGATCTCTTATGCCCAGGGGTTCAAGGACAGCCTGGGAAACACAGCAAGGCCCCGTCTCTTAAATAATTAATAATAGTAACTGTCATTACCTGCAGTGAATGAGATACAGTTTATCACCAACATTTAGAGCTATTATTGTTTAAAATAATATTAACAAATACATTTAAAACTATATTAACAGGCATTAATTAGAAATTAACCATGAGCTAAAATTCATTTTGGCATCCATATGGAAGATTCATTAAAGCATTTAAATATACAGAAGCTTTAGTTAAAGATTAGAAGAAAGTCTAGAGAAATTGACTTAAATTCTAATGAAAGGAAAGGGTACATATTTTATCAACTAGGGAGATCTGTGGGTAGCATCGACTTCAAAATTTATGTCTATTTTTATTGAAGATGGGCCTAGCTTATTACAGTACTCTTCTAATCCTCCTATGTACCTTTTTAAAAGAATTTATTTCTCTACTTTTTACACTAGAGGGTGATATGATGACTGAATGCTGAAGGTTGTAAAACATATATATAGAGATTGACAACCGCTGCGGGGAATGAAGTTTATTTTGTGGGATTTGGGGTAAGGCACAGGAGACGGAAAAAATGAGGTCACAAGGCCGATATCTGCAAAATATCTGAGTGTCCCAGGCACTATGCTACTTGTTTTACATAAATTATTTCACTTAATCCTTACAAAAACCTTGAGAGGTAGGCATGAGTCTTTATTTTACAGATAAAGTAATAGGTTCACTGAGATTATATACTCATGGTTATACAGTAAGTGGTATAATCAGAATTCAAACTCAGATGTGAAAAGTTCTTATCACTCTAATATGTTAGGGGAAAACCCATCTCACCCATTGTCCCCATTTCTCCCATTTCCATTATCCTCCCCACATGTTTAAAATTGGGCTAAATTAGGCTGAGTCAATGTTTCATTTTTCCTCCTTCACAAAGGTAGGGGACATGGCTATTCATTGGGCCATGTTTACTAGTGGATGTTATTCAAGATGACTGCCTTAAATAGCATTTTTTGCTCTCTGGACATGTATATACCAAACAGACTTTGAACTTAAGTTGCTTGTCTTGCAGGTAGACTAGGCCAGGGACTTTCTGAAGAAGCTATCATTCTCTAGAACTCTACAACAGAGTGTAACTTAGAGCCCTGTTATATTTCCAATGTTAGCCACATTATCCTACAAAGCTGCTCAGCAGCTCTGGTCCTAGGAGGTGGTTGGAGAATGGCGGACCAGATACCCTGATTGGTTAATGATCCTATTACCTGATTCCTCTATTGTTCAGAATTTATAGACAAGAAAGGGTCTTACGCCTCTAAACTCCAATACACTAGATGCTTCTCCACACCTCCCCCCACCCTCTATTTATTTATTCTGAAACAGGGTCTTGCTCTGTGGCCCAGATCACTGCAGCCTCAACCTCCTGGGCCCAAATGATCCTCCAACCTCAGCCCCCAAAGTAGCTGGAACCACAGGCGCATGCCATCACACTCAGCTAATTTTTGTATTTTTTGTAGAGACAGGGTTTTGCCATGTTGCCCAGGCTGGTCTCAAGCAATCTGCCCACCTCAGCCTCTCAAAGTGCTGGGATCACAGGTGTGAGCCACCACACCTGGCTATCTTTTATATATATTTATTTTTTGATAAACATTTATTTCTTATTTGAGGCAAATGGATAAAAACGATTTAATTACTAGGAAGAATCTAACAATCAAGATGGGAAAAAAATAGACTAATTTGAGGTAAGGAAGTTATGTGAGAAGAGAACAGGTGGAAGCCACTAAGATAGATATGGAAGCATCAGAAATTAATGCTCAAACACACTTCTCTTCATCAAAAGATCAGGATACCAGATCTGGCCTAATAATCATCTCATTTGTTTTTCATGTTAGTAGAAAATTAGTTGATATTCTGCATAAAATATGTCAAAGATTCTTCAATATGAGCTGGGCATATCTTCAGAAAACAACTTTTTTTAAAAAAATATGATAAGGATGTTGAGAATGAGAGTTAAAACTGAAGAGACAGACATTTGTATCTGGAGAAGCAAGATTTAGAGGAATAGCCAGCACACAACCTCTGCTTTAAAAGCATGTTTTATGGATTCAAGAGAGTATGACCTCTATAAAATTTTTTAACAGCGTCATTTGTTCCTGATTACTTTAGCCTTGAGCTGTAAAATCTTCAATAATGTTTTGTTAAGTGCCACAAAGAAAAGTAGTTAACTGAGCCCTCTGTCCTTTCTATAGGGTAGCTCTTATCACTTCAAATGGGACATAGTATCAGAAAATCATCACATGGCAGAGTCTCTGACTATGTTGGAAATCTTGTTCAGTGATGTTTGTCAAATTCAACCATAGGGGGCAGCATAGCATGTGGAAAGAGAAAGGGGTTTTTTGCTATTAGGCAAATCAGGATTAAAATCTCTCATCACGTAGTGTAATCTGGGGTGGATCATTCGGCCTCTCTGTAACTTTTGTTTATGTATCTGTAGTAGGATCTTTCAAACAGTGTGAGCTTAATAAATAGCAATTCTTGACTACCACTTCCCTTGACTTTTAACATTAAGACAACATGGAATTTTTAACATATATTGCTTGCCATAAGGCTCCCAAAAGAACAAACCTTTAGTGACAAGGGGGGAAAAACTGTCCTCAGAGTGTTGACAGTTTTCAGAATGCTTTCAAAGAATAAAGCAATGCAAGGAAGAATTAAAAATCTTTTTTTCTCATTAATATATTTGCTTATGCAGCATATTTAGGGATGATGGGTAAAATTCAGTCTAGCTGTCCACAGGGTTTGTTTATGAGAATGCCAAAAAATAAAACTTGAAAGGTATCCTGAGTAAAATTTGTAGAAAGCTAATCCTATGTTAACATTTAAAATGGGATTTCATTTCTTATGCCTCTACTCTCAAAAGTCAAAGAAGACTTGAATGAAACTATGGTCTAGGGTAACATCTGTAGAAGTGTCTTAACTTTATAATGATCAAGAATTTAAAGCTCTTCCAAAATAAAGTACTTCAACTAGTGAGAGCTTCTATTTATTGTATTAAAACATGTATACACGGAGAATACTGACATTTTCTTTTTAGGTGAAGCAGTACTCAGTGACTTTTTTTAATGCTGTTGAAAGTGCTCTGGGAATACTCTGGCAGAAGGGTTTCAGGAATGGACAAAAAGGAAAACATTTAGAAAAATTTCAGACTGAAATCTTACTTGTAGAAGGGTATCACTGTCCTGGCAATCAAATAGCTTTGTATTCTTCATGCCATACTTACGAAGGCAGATCATCTCATGATCAACAATATATCAAAAACTATACATACACACTTATATAATAAATGCATACACACATCTATACTGTACATGTGTATATACATAAATGCATACACACATCTATACTGTACATGTGTATATACATAAATGCATACACACATGTATTCCTTCTATGGTTAGAGCCCAGTCCATTCTTGTTATATGTACAGGACAATAATTGTTATTCATGATTCAGAATCACTAGAAAAAAACTAACAAATTCAGTATACTTCGTTTTTAAAAAGGTAATCATCATACACAAAATTTTACATCTTGAAGGTAAAGAAAAGATAAAGCACCTGTCAAACTTGTGAACTGGAAGGTTTCCTACAGAATATAAGGATGACTTTTCCTTTTGGAAAAAGATAATGTTTTGTCTAACTAGCTTTTTTTGCTTTTAATTTAAAGTGTAGCAGAAATCAGCAATAACTCTGCATTGTTCCGCAAGGCTTAGTTTTGATTGAACCTCTTTCTGAAATAAGTTAGTGCAATTGGACCTTAAGTATTAAACCCCTATTCCTCTAACTGAACCCTCAGGAAAAAAAGAGATGTTAAAACTCCCTTTTGATATAGCAACCTTGAAGAAGATGATCAAGACTAGGGGGGCAAAAGGGAGGAATGACACTATAAAAGGTCTGAGCCTTAACAAAGTGGTGCTATAGTTGTTAGTGGTAGAGCCATCTGGCTGAGATCCAAAGCTACTGCTTCAACATCTTGAGACAGGGATGGTACAATGGATGAAAAATCACTACTTGATGTCACGTCCTTCTTAGATCATGCCAGCTAAATAAAATCTGACTTGCAGATAGGCTAGGTAAATTAGGGCCAAACACATTTTAGAAAGTAAGGTTTTACAAGCAGATGTAAAACATGATTTAGCATTTCAATTATTATTAATCCAAGTGTGTAAGATACTTCATTCCAAGTCAAGTTAGGTTAAACGATACGATGTTAAATCAGTTTGTATATTGTTTATGGCCTAAAATCACTGTAAAATGTAAGAAATAAGCAAGTAGGAGTAAGAGGATGAACTACCACAGACATTATGTTAATGTCTATAAAACAAGTATATTCAAGTTAAAATGTTCCTTTCCAAAACATAGTTTAACTTGTAAGTCTACTCTACATGAATATTCATTATTTCTAATTCTCAAATGATAAATAACTAGAACTAATTTGAGGCAACTTCTGAGTAATTTATGCCTTAGAGTGACACTTGTGAATAGCCCACTCTAGCAGCTGCATTTTGTAAATAAAAAGTTTCTTCATTACTTGATTTACACAAATCATGTTTCACCCGAAACCTCTACACCCCACACAAGCTACTAATCCCTGCCCGGGACGCAAGGTTTAGACGAAAATTTGATGTTAATAATTTTTCATAGTAATAGGCTCAATTACTTTCCCTCCATTTGTACTCAGATTGTCCCATTATCAGTATTTCTACTTGTAATACTTTCCATTACCTTCTGTAAGACAAAAAACTAGTTCATTTTATTATTACACATCTTAAGATTAATTTTTAGTAATACAAAGACTGTGAGGAAAGTTTCATTACAATTAAAATAGATATGTAAAGTTTCTCAGGTTAACAATATATTGAATATACTCACTTTTGTTGTTTTTGTATAGAATGGGGAGGAGAGTTGGTGAACGGGCAGGTCCACAATACTACTGGAGTTCGTGACACTGTTAGTATGTGTATGTTCATCTTCTCTGCTACTATCATCAGACTGATCAAAATCGTCACTCTCCTGGTCCATCTCCTCCTCCTCCTCATCCTCCTCATCTTGTTCACCAGCATGTTCTTCATCTTCCTCTTGTTCTTCTTGGTTTCCTGAGGAGTCCTCATCTACCGAAATAAATCTATTATTGTTTTCTTCCAACTGTCCTTGCTGGGAATCATTTTGGCCTCCAGGTCTAGGTTCTACTCCAACAACTTCACCATTCCTTGCAGTGTGCTCCTCCTCTTGTTGTCTGAGTTGCTGTTGCTGTTCCTCCTCTACCACACGATTCATCTGTTCTTCATCTACCTGGCTTGAGGAAGGGTTACCTCTCAGAGAGCCTCCAGTTCGTCGTCTTTTGCTGCCCACAGAGAGCAGTTCCTGATTCATTTCCAAAAGCCAGCTTGCTACTTCTTGGACCTTGGCTAGACTATCAGAAGATGCAAAGGTTTTCACATTCTGCAGGGGAAAATAGGGTAAAAAACAAGATTTGTACAATCTATATTATGTTCTACTTTCATGTTATATGTCTACTTTCTAAATATCATTAATGATTGCAAAAAAGTATTGATGCCACCAAGGCATTAAAATGTTCTTTAGTAAACAATATAGAACATTTCAATTTTAAAAGTTATAAGACTTTATAAAGACATGCACAAAAACCATAGTAAACAACACTAATCCCTTTTAATAATTTTTAGCATGAAGATTTATAGTTTAATTCCTTTGACCAATAAAACATAATATTTCAAGCAAATAAAACAATTTTAATTTTACATCAGTAGTTCATAGACTATATCCTATATAAAACTTCCACAAAATTTTAAGAAGTGTATCAAAAAAAATTTTCAGTGTTCAGTTAATTTGGGAAATGCTGAGGTAAATCAGATTAAAAGGCTTTTTACCCTGGGTATTTCCCAAACTTTTCTGATCACAGAATCTTGCCTTCAGACACAGTTTTCTAGCAGGTAACAATTATAATCATTATTATTTTAATTTTTTTACAAATGACTGGACAGAAAATGAACAAAAAATTTATTTAAAAAAAAAGTTCATAAGTTCATACCCTCTGACCCAGTAACTCCACTTCTGGCAATCTATCCTAAGGAAGTAATCCTAAAACAGAAAAAAAAAATTTATACAGAGGATGCTCACTGCAGTTTATCCACGAAAGCAAAAAATAAAGATAAAAATAAATGTAAATAAAAATGTAAATAAAAATCCAAATGTTCAATATAAAGGAATCTATGAGATGGGATATATATGGTGTAATCCCTAAACATGACGTTCATAAAATATTTTTAAAAACATGGATGTTATAATATATTATGCTAAGGGGAAAATGCTGGAAATTGTGATTATAGTATGATTTTTAAACTGTATGAAGACTAGAAGACAACATTTCAAAATAAACTGCATCTTAGGCAGTGGTATTACTGATGCTTTAAACTTACTTCTTTTTATCATATTTCTCAATTTTTATATATCAAGCATGTTTGCCTTTATGTTTTTTAACCTAGGCTCTAGAATTTTATCTGATACAGCATCTTTTCATGATATTCATTCTTACATTTTATCCTTTGCTGGTATCTATATGGACATCTTTGAAGTCAGATAAAATGCCAACATGTTGTGCACACACAAGAAATTATGCACCCGTGATCTAAAACTTGAAACTGCTAACAAATGAAGTATTGTCAATTCTAGTCTTTTTCAGAGAAAACCTTTAGTATGATTTACAACAGTGTATCATAAAACACAAACATCAACAAACAGAAGCCCATATCCTAAAATTTGAGGAAGGTCTTTTATTTCTTCCTACCATAATACAAAATGTCAAGATATATCAAATATTAATATAGAACTTATTATTTTATCGGTAACTGATGTGACTGAACTTGAGTTCAGTAAAATAAAATCTGATGGCTAACAAACAACATTAAGTTGCATGGTTTTCTTGGCAACTGGACATGATGGGAATAGAAATGATTCAAGGTCAGGAAGAATACTAATAAAAGAAATAGAATTTTAAATTGAAAATGTTCCTCACTTTGCAGGCAAGGTAATCAAGGCTCAAAATGATTTAGTAAATTTCTCAAGATTACTAGTTTCAAGTAAAGCAGGGACAAGAATTTAACACCCAACTGAGTCTCCTTTCATGCACCTTAAAGTAACTACATAAAATCCTGAAAGAATATTATTCTCTAACACTGATACTGCCTTCTTTTCCAAAACTCGAATCACTACAATACTCAAAGATTATTACTCTAAAACAAATTATTTGCTGAGCATTCAATATGCTTCCTGTACATGTCAATTTTCTGGAGGATAATGTTTAGAATAATGTCTCTTTCAAGTTAACCAATGACATTTCATCTTTTTTGACCAGAACCCACAGTAAAATTATGTTTAACATCACAACTCTGCATGCATGCATTTAAACATATTAAAACAGTGATTTCAGAGAAAGGGAATTATGAAACATTTCTGGTATCTAAAGTCCCTATAAATCACCACCGTTAATCAAATACAGTTGATTCCCATTCACAGTAATTGTGTTCTATAAAATTGCTGCAACCACTGAATTAACAAATACTGAGCCATTGCTCCTAGGGGAAATACAGTTCTCACAAGCCTCTGGTCACAACACTGTTGCCAACTGATCAATGCATAACCTTTTTTATGCGTGTTTCTGCCTAAATATATCTTTAATATACATTGATTCATTAGCATCGAACTCATGGTCAACAGCATTATAACTAATGCCTGAATTAAGTTTCTTTAACACACATTAGTTTATCTTTAAGGCAAATTACAGCCTTCCTGCACTTCGGAACATTAAACAGAACTTCAGGCTATGTTTGGGGGCCATTCTAAACTGCACAATCACTAACAAAAAGCACCAAAATGAGGAAAATGCTTTTTCCTCATGGACCATGAAAATGACACTTGTTCATGGTATGAGAGCTGCAACAAGAAGGCAGAGCATCACCCTGCAGATCTCAACTGGAAATAAGTTTGTCAGGTGGCTCAAACTTTGTGATACTCTGCACAGTATATGTCCACAAATGACTATAAAAGTATCATTCGTGGCTGTGAAAGTGACTGTGTTGTTACAGTTCTGCTAACCTAACAAAGGATAAATGATCAGAGAAATTAAAAGCTCCATTATAGATATTAATCAATAAATGTTTCAAATAAATTGAAAGTTCAGATAGCTCAGATAAAATAAAGTTGGACTTTGCATAAAATAATGGCTGGAGAAAAGAACATTACTTTTCCTTTTTTAAGTGTGGGGAACAACATTCTTCTGGCAGTGTCTTTCAAGGTAGTGGAAAGTCCAGAGAGGTCCTGACCTATGGGTACTTTAAAAAGATGCCTACAGTCAGCTCCATTCTGGATGAAAAAGAGGTATAATAATTTTGCTCTTCAAAAAAATTTAAAATAGGTTACTTAGAGAAAGCACAGCTACTCCATGACTTTCCCCAAGTCCTAGAAAATACAGGGTAACTTTTAGTGACTATCCTTTGTTGATTTAGTGGCATTTCAGGCCTACCTTGGGGGAGGGGGGTGTATTTTAGACAACTTTCTCATGAACTTTTTAAACATTTTCTCAATAACCTTGTTTTTCAAAAAGACCTTTGATAATTCAAAACCATTTGAAATGCTTATTCTAGGAATGCTTAGAGGAATAAAAGTGGGCATAGATACAGTTGTTAAATAAGTGGAGCTCTGAGAGCCTGTCTTATATTGAACTAGAGTTGCCAGCTTCAAAGAAAAATTCCAAGGCAAATACTAACTTTGAAATCATAGTAGACACTGAGGAATACAGTTTATACCAATAAAACAAGAAGTAGTTTAAGTAAATTACTAAAGCCTCTGAATCACTAGGCAACATTAACATTTTCAGAATTTACATGGGCAGGTATAATCCATTAGGCTTGAGCTACAAAGTGATTTAAGAAGCTTTAGGACAAAGATAACAAGAAAGTAAACCAACTGTACTGATCATCAGGAAGAATAACTCAAAGCTTGGAATCACTTTCTGCAAGAAGTTTAGGATTTTCACTGAATTCTTAAAAGAGCCAACACCCTCCACTTCATATATGAACTTTCTATACCCCAAATTAATAATTTATTAATTACTATGATTAGGAGTAAGTACCTGAAATGCATGATGAAATAAGTTTTATCTTATTACTCCACTGCTCAACACCCACTAAGAGCTTCCCATTTCACTCAGAGTAAAAGCCAATGTCTTTTATGGTTGCCTGTTGGGTCCTTCTATCATCTACATACATCCCCACCACTGTGAACTCATATTTTACTACTCTCTCACTTTGTTCCACCCTTTCTGTCACCGTTCTTTCTTGAGGGGTAAAGTGTGCTGCAACCTCAGAGTCTTTGTGCTAGCTATTCCTCTTTTTATTTCTTTTACTTCCTTCATAGAGGACTCTGTTCAAATGTCCCCTATTCAATGATACTTTCCCTAACCATCCAACTTAAAATAATACCCCCCAGCATCACCTTCTCTTTTCCTTTGTCCTGACTTTACTCATTTCCACAGCACTATATAAAAGCAAAAATAGTACCTGCTATATAGCAAATACCTACCTATCCATCTATCCATCCATCAATTTATTTCTGTACTATCTGCCTTCCCACACTAGAATTTAAGTTCTATAAGGAAAAGGGACTTTTGTTTTTCATCACTATTATCTCCAGCACCCACAAAAATGCCTGACTCATAAGGCACTCAAAACATTTACTGAGTAAATAATTATCAGATCTTTTTAAAGACAATCATGTACTAAGCATGCTCTTCACCAAAAAAGAACTTCGAGCCAGGTCACAAACACAACGTCAATTACTTTAAATACATTTTTTAAAGTTGTACTCTGTATTGAACAAGTCACTTGTAGTACTTTTGAAACTGGTAGGACATATATCCTAATATCTTAACACACATTTGTAAATTGTCTACTAAGTCATAATAAATCATTTTTCCCTCTGTATCAAATTTCTTGTTATTTTCAGCACAGGATGTAAAAAAACAACTGTGACTAAAAAGATTAATACTTCGAAAACAATTATTTTTTGAGTATTTCTGGTTCCATATATTCTATACTGCAGCTGAGAAATCACATTTGTAACTTTAAAGATGAAAATCTTTCAGGGACTGCAAAATTTGATGAAAAGCTCCTTAGTAATGTACACTAACAAAATCAGCACAAAATGGGCAATACTGGCAAGTGTCATCATATACACAGAAAGTAATTGATAAAGTTTTATGGATGTACACTGAATAATTTAAATAGACTTCACTAGTCAATCATATATATCTTTACTGGAAAGGATGCAAAAGACTATTCCTCAGTCCACATGACAATATATATTTTTTGTTATTTGAATTATAATACATATTTTGTTTTGGCTAAATTTAATCCCTGTGTGATACGCCACCACCTGTGTGATATGGGCTTACTCCATAATAACTAAATTTTAAACTGGTTGTTAAATCTCAAAGACTCTTTTGCCATTTTTGTATCTTTATATTCTGTTGGTCACTAGCTCTCTTTACAACTCTCTCCTGTCCCTTAATTTTCCTTGGTACATTCCTCAGTGCATCCCTCAGGCAGCACTGTTACTGTGCTCCATCGCTAGCTCCTCCCTCCTTTGTTGTTTCGTTGAAAGTCAGGGTTCCAACTATCACACAGAAGCTAATGACTCCCCATACTATTATCTCCAGTCAGACTCCTCTACTGAGCCTATTAATTTCAAGAAGGTGTCCCAAAGTCACACCAAATTCATTATTTTAACATCCAAACTTCTATTTCCCCACAACATGCACACATACGTAAGGCCCAAATTTGTTCTTAGAGCCTCCTATTATTTTCTCTATTTCAGTGAATGGAATCATATTCTAGCTAGTTGCAGATGTAAGAAACCCAGATGGCTCTTCTTCCTTCTTTTCCTCAAAAATTTAGTCAAAAAGCTATTAGATGGAGCCAAGCAAGTTAGGTATGTATGTGGCAGGCAGGTAGTCCAAAATTTGGGAGTCAAAGCAGAATGAAAAGAGCCTTTCTGTAGTGAGGGATGGCGGCGGGGAGGAACAGAGGCAGACCAACAAGGGGGCAAGGTGGCAAAGCTTGACTCTAAGAAGCATGAGGAATAATCCATATAGTAAAGAAGCCCCCGTAGGTCAAAGGCAGAACACAGTGACAACATCCCTGTGGGTGCGTAACACAGTAAAGAGTGTCCACATGAGGGAAAGATGTCAAAGGCTGAAGAGGAGGGTGCAGTGGCCACAGTGGTACCCTACTCAGATATCCCCTCAACCTAACCTGCTATGAGGAACAGAACTGCTTGACAGCCTCCATCTATCGCACCTTGGAATCCATGGCAACCACCCCTGGCCTTGCTGCCTCTGGGCTTCTCCCAGCAAGCTACCAAGCAGGGCAGAAGTACTAGAATGGGGATTGCTCCAAAGGACAATAGGAGGGTAGTAGGGTGGGGTGGGAGATTCCCTGCGCATCAAATCTTGTCTTGACATCTGTGTCTCAGAAGACCCAAACTAACACAAAAAACATCTGTGTTAAGAGTACTGATATCAAAAGCTCTTGGGGCAAAATGTTTTAACATCTGAAAGATGTTATAAAATGGTTAACTTCATTAAACAAAGGTCATTTCACTCATTTAAAGAACAGCTCTTACCACACACACACACACACACACACACACACACACACAAAATCCACTTAGCAGTGGAAAACTTCTCAATAGGGTATTTGAACTGAAATGGGTCCTTTAAAGAAAACAGTAGGCTACAGTCTGTTGAATACTTAAACATTAATGGCTGTAGAAACTAGCCTACGTAGTACTTATTTTTCAGTCTCTGTAAGGTGTGAAGAAAATGGTTGGGTTTTCTTTATTTCAAAGGACAACATTCTTGGATGTAAAAGGAAAATGAGCTTTTGAAAAACATGTTACAAAAGAAAATCTTGAAATGTTTCTATTGCTGTTTGGGCTTGAGAGTGAGGAAGGATATCAGCAAGTCTCAAGTCTTACTGGAAATCACCTGGAGGAGCTGCAGAAAAAAAACTGAACAGATTTTCCTTCACTTGAACACAAGTGTAGAACTGGAAAAGGGATCCTGTTTCTGAATGTTCTGACTGTGAAAATTTGACTTGAGAAAAAAGGAAAAAGATCTGCAGTTTTATCATACATTAAAGATGAGTTTTACTAATCTTTCCCAGACAAGATGTAGATTTCTATGAAGAAAAGATTATCCTGCTACTCACAGAAAAACAGTGAACATTATGCTGCAGCAATTTCTCGCACATATGAACAATCTTTTTTTATTCAGCAAACAAGAATAAGCTCAGAAATAGTCTTATTTCAGTTGAAAATGAAATTAACATGATTTGCTTATCTCATGCTTGACCTGGAATTGATATGTGCAGTAAGAAACAAGGACAAAAAACAAATATAATTTTTACATTAAAGAGGTAAATTCACATTAAAGAGATAAATATAATTTTATTTAAAATTCAAAAATAATAATTTTATGCATATATCAGCCTATACAAGAAGTAATCTAACTAGCAGGCATACAATTGAGCCTGACCATATCACCGAGTAAAGTTTTTCAAAATCTGGTTTAAAATTGTGTCTAAATTATACTTTTATTCATATTGCTTTGGCTTATGGTTTTAGCAGCTTTACTATTCAACACTGTCAATTAATTTTCATTTCGTAAACATCATTAATTAAAATCAATTTATAATCTTTATTAAATTAAATCTGCTGAGCCTAAGAAAAATGAAGTGCCATTTTGGCTTATGCTAGTTACTTAAGCAAAATGTATTACATTTCTTATAAGTTTATAAAATTTATAAAAAGATTAATTTCAGGAAAAGTGAAGCTTAATTACCACGGGGTTGAATTTTCCCCCAAGAAAAAGTGATTTAAACATCATTTTCAGTTTTAAGAATGGGGTGAAAATTACTCTTGTGTATACCACATCACTTTTGGATCTCACATAATAGAAATGTGTGGTAAGGCCCACTAGGATAAGGTAAACACACACACACACACACACACACACACACACACACACACACAGAGTGGCAAAGTCTTAAAAAAAATGGAGTTTATCTGCCTTCTGTAACGACTTTCACTGGGGCTGCTATCCTTTGTGAGTTGAAGAAACCACACACACAGAGGAGGAGGTTAATGATTTCACCAATACTTACACCTCAGAAAACTGCAGGTTCAATTCCAGACCACTGCAATAAAGGTAATATTGCAATACAGCAGGTCACAAAAAATGTTTTGGTTTCCCAGTGCAATAAAAGTTATATTTACACTACTATTAAGTGTGTAATAGCATTATGTGTAAAAAAAATGTACATACCTTAATTTAAAAGGACTATACTGCTTAAAAAAATGCTAATGATCAACTGAGACTTCAGTGAGTCCAATTTTTTTGCCGGTGGGGGGTCTTATCTTGATATTGATGGCTGCTGACTAATCAGTATGGCTGTGGCAATTTCTTAAAATAAGACAACAATAAAGTTAGCCACATCAATTGACTCTTCCTTTCATGAAAGACACTAGGCTATGTGACAGCATTTTACCTAACTGTAGATCTTCTTTCAAGATTGGAGGCAATCCTCCCAAACCACCGCTGCTTTATCAATTTGTCAACTAATTTTATGTAATATTCTAAGTCCTTTGTTGATATTTCAACAATTTTCAAAGCCTCTTCACTAGGAGTAGGTTCCATCTCAAGAAACAGCTTTCTTTGCTCATCAATAAAAAGCAACACCTCAGCCATTCAAATTTTATCTTGAGATTTCAGCAATTGTCACGCTGTGTCAAGTTCTACTTCTACTTCTCTTGCTATTTCTACCACAACTGCAGTGACTTCCTCCACTGTAGTCTTGAGCCCTTCAAAGTTGCCCATGGGGGTAGAATCAATTTCTTCCCAACTCTTATTAATGCTGATATTTTGACCCCCTCCCATAAATCACGAATGTTCTCAATGGTACTTAGAATGGTGAATCCTTCCCAGAAGGTTTTTGGTTTACTTTGCCCAGATTCATCACAGGAATCACTGCGGCAGCTACAGCCTTAAGAAATATATTTTTTAAATAATAAAACTTGAAAGTAGAAATGACTCCTTGATCCACGGGCTACACAATAGATGTTATTATGTTTATCAAGCATGAAAAAATAGGAATCTCCTTGTACATCTCCATCAGAGTTCTTGGGTTACCAGGTGCATTGTCAGTGAGCAGTAATATTTTGAAAGGAATCTTTCACTGAGAGCAGTAGGACTCAAGAGTGGGCTTAACATATCTAGCAAACTGTGCTGTCATCCAGGCTCTGTTCCATTTACAGAGCATGGGCAGAGTAGATTTAGCATAATTCTTAGGACCCTGTGATTTTCGGAATGACCAATGAGCACTGGCTTCCACTTGAGGTCACCAGCAGCATTAGCCCCTAACAAGAGAGTCAGCCTGTCCTTTGATGTTTTGAAGCCAGGTACTGACTTCCCCTATCCAGCTAGAAAAGTCTTAGATGGCATCTTCCAATAGAGTGCTGTTTCATCTACATTGAAAATCTTTTAGGGTAGCCACCTTCATCAGTGATCTTAGCTAGACATTCTAGATAACATGCTGCAGCAGCTTCTCCATCAGCACTTGCTACTTTACCTTGTACTTACATGTTATCGAGACAGCTTATTTCCTTAAACCTCAGGAACCAAACTGCTAGCTTCCAACTTTTCTTCTGAAGCTTCCTCCCCTCTTACCCTTCATAGAATTGAAGTAAGTTCGGGCCTTGCTCTGGATTAGGCTTTTGTTTAAGGGAATGTTATGGTTGATTTGATCTTCTATCCAGACACTAAAACTTTCTCCATATCAGCAATAAGGCTGTTTTGCTTATAATTCATGTGTTCACCAGAGTAGCACTTTTAATTTCCTTCAAGAACTTTTCAGCTGGGTGTAGTGGCTCATGCTTATAATCCCAGCACTTGAGGAAGCCGAGGTGGGAGGACTGCTTGAGGTCAGGAGTTCAAGAACAGCCTGATCAACATAGCGAGACCCTGTCTCTACTTTTTAAACATACGAAAAAGTGAAAAAAAGAAAGGAACTTTTCCTCTGTACTCACAACTTGGATGTTTGGCACAAAAGGCCTAGCTTTTGCCCTGTCTCTGCTTTCAACATGCCTTCTTCACTAATCATTTCTAGCTTTTGATTTAAAATGAGAGACATGCAACTCTTCTTTTCACTTGAACACTTAGAAGCCACTGTAGGGTTATTAATTGGCAAAATTTCAATGTTGTGTCTCAGGGAATAAAAAGGCCTGAGAAAAGAGAGATGGGAACAGCTGGTTGGTGGAGTGGTCAGAATACATACAACATTTATTAAGTTTGCCATCTTTTATTCTTCTATGGGTGTGGTTCATGGCATCCCCAAACAATTATGATAGTAACATAAAAGAGATCGCTGATCATAGATAACCATAATAGGTATAATAATAATGAAAAAGATTGAAATATTGCCAGAATTACCAAAATGGGACACAGAGACACACAGTGAGCTGCTGGAAAATGGCACCAAGAGACTTGCTCAACACAGGATTGCTCCAACCCTTCAATTTGTTTAAAAAAAAAATCAGAAGCAAAGTGCAATAAACCATGGTGTGCCTATATAGTAAAAGTGATAACCTGATGCTTTATAATCTGAGTTCTTCTAGCCTCTTGAAATCAGAAGAAATTCAGAAAAACTCAGTGAATTCTTTATGAATTCAACTGAATTACCAGTTGCACACTGGTAGTGGAATAGTGAAGAGGTATGTAAAAAGTAAATTAACTGGCTTCAAGATATGTGTTGTATTCCCAAATCTGTTGAGTTTCCCAAATTTATAAGCCATTATGTAGTTGTAAGCGCAGTAAGTCTGAGTATTGTACTGAAGAGTTTCTATTAGAATCATTAAGACAGACATCAGGCATTTTAAGACACTTTGTCAAACTCTCTGTCTCTTTCTGCTTTGAGATGACACTATGACAATTTAGAATGAAAATGATTGCTGAAGATAATCCAGATGACACTAGACTATTACTGATGAAGCTCTAGGGGAGTTTATATTAGATTAGCAAATCTATAATCTTTTTTAAAAAACTACTTCCTTTAGAGTAAAATAAAATACAGATACAGAAAACTATACAAAAACTTTATACCTTAGCATATTAAGAGAATACATTCTTGTGACCACCACACAGCAATTTGCCAGCGAGCCCAGAAGCTCCTCCAAGTGCTGATTCAGTCATAGCCCCTTCCCTTCCTCTAAGTAACTCACTTCTTTTAAATTATTCTTAATTACATCCTGTATTTATCACTTTATCAGCTAAGTAAGCCTCCCTAGATAACTATTATTTAATCTTGACCATTTTTAAGAAGAGTTGCTACTTCTATTCAGTCTCTTTTAATCTACAGGTTTATTTTCCATTCTTTTCTTTTTCTTAAAATTTATGTTTGATCTGACTTTTCGTAGTGTAGATTTGACTGATTATTTACACATAATGCAATTCAGCATATTCATCTGGTCTCTTTATTTGTGGCAAATTGGAAGCTGGATCCAGAGGCTTTATTGAACTTGGTTTGTTCCTTTGTCTAATAATGTGTTACTTCATTATGTGTCATCTAGCATCTGGTTTCCTTCTTATGATTTTAGCAGCTGTTGATATTCATTGCCTCCATCCATTAATACACTGAAGGTGGCAAAATGGTGGTATTCTAATACTCTCATTTCTTTTTAATTTATTAAAAGAAATGATTTCATGAAGAAATGCTTCCCTTATTTGCTATTTAATTCCTCAGTGCTATAGACCACTTAGAAAAGTTGGTAATGCTGTATTACATGGCTGTATTACTCTAGCATGAGCTAGTTGAGCTATTAGATAATATTTGACAGTAAAAACTTTGTAAATTTTTATTGATAATTTTAAAATTATAATTTTCTAAATTTTAGATTGGAGAAATAAAAATTTGCCAAACATGTCAAGAGTACACATTTTCCCAAATAATATACAACAGTGGTTATTAAACTTGATTTTGGTGCCTATCAGTGGTACCACCATACCTCTAATGTCCATCAGAGATAAACCACATAAATGATAATTTTACCACTGGTACTTTTAAACAACAGAGAACCACACAGCAATGAGAATGAGAATGACAAACTGCAGCTAACAATATAGACAAATTTTACAGACATAATGCTAAGCAAAAACAACACAAAACAGACAGAGTATAAATTGTATTATTCCACTTTAAAGAGTTCAAAAAAGGAAAAACTAATCTATGGTGTTAAAAGTCACTATGGTGGTTATGTTTGTGTTTGGAGGGGTGGGGTGCTAGACTGCTTTCTAGAAGGAGTCACTAGAGGAGGTTCTGGAATAGAATGTTCTATTTTTTTATTTGAGTGTTGTTACTTTTCTCAGAGTATGCTGTATTCCAGTAAAAGGTCAAAAAGTGAACAATTATGGTTTCCAGATTTGAGGGGGGAAAACACAACTTTCCTGCTGGCAGAATTCCTTGGGAGATGCTTTTACTTTTTTTCCATTTTTTGCAGAGATGGGGGTCCCACTATGTTGCCCAGGCTTGAACTCCTGAGTTCAAGTGATCCTCCTGCCTCAGCCTCCCAAAATACTGGGATTACAGGTGAAAGCCACCGTACCTGGCCAGGAAGCTGCTTATTTTAAAATGTACATTGGGATTCGGCAGTAGGGCCCAGTTTCTGCATTTTTAATATTTTCTACCCCCACAAGCAGCCACCCACGACTTTGATGTGCATGGTCCAGGGAGCATTCCTTTGAGAACAAGACTTTTTGCATTTTTCTGAAACTTTGACTAATAGGACAATCAATGTTTATTAAATTTAATAAATAAAATGGTTCGAATATATTATGCCTTGACATTAAACAGAAATATAGCTAGAGACACTAAACCAAACATCCAAAACTTAGAATAGTTCTATTACTTAAAACTCTCTTCATCTCTTATCATATTTATTTAAAACCATCATATTCTTAGATCTTTTCATTTCTGTCACTAAACAAGAAGTACCCTGCACCACAGCCCACTTGTTTTAAGCGCCTGGTGAGTTACCGCATGTGTTAACAGTGAATGGAGAACGAAACCTGCTCAATTTCTTAATAGTCTGCTAGAGACACTAGAGTTTTGTAACTAGCAACATGTTAAGGAATTCAAATTTAATTCATAAGTTACAAATCACTACTTATCAAAGGTACATAGGGTCAAAACCTCAAATACTAAATCTAATGCTGCTAAGGATCTAGAGTCAGCTAGTTATTAGGCAAATAAAGTGACACTGTGAACATCAAATGATATGTACTCTAGGCAAATTAAGACTTCTTTCTTGAAATTTAAAATAAAGCTAACGTTCACTTGCTTTGCAGATCACTGGCTCTGCAGGTCACTGGTTGAGACATCAACTGACTATGCATATGAAACACTTAGGAGTCTTGTTAAAATGCAGATTCTGAGTTGGTAAATCTGAAATAGGACCCGAGATTCTGCATTTCTAACAAGCTCCCAGATGATGCCATTACTGCCAGTCAATGACTAAATTTTGAAGAGCAATGCTCCACTCTTGTCTACCTGATTTGTTTTCACTGCTGCCAAAATAAACATCCTAAGGCATAGATATGACAGTGTCAGCTTCCTCCTTATATATTCCACCCTTTGGTGATTTCACAAGTTCATCTTCCTTACTGTGACACACAAAGACTCTCAAAAGTTGCATGTGGCCTCTCTTGAGCCTCATCTCTGAGTCCATCTTCCTCATTTGCAGCAATTCCATACCCCACAATTCTATTTTAAGCCCAGCAAAACCAAACATCTCACATATCCTAACTCTTAATTATTCCCGTTTGTAAGGTTTTGTTTTGTTTTCATACTCCACCCCAGGTCCCCTCTGATAGTACTTCAATACCCACCTTAAATATTGTATTTTTAGTAAAAATCTTCCAACATCTCCCTGGAAGGAGTTAAGTATAACTCCTAAACTCCTAGTAGAATGGCCAACTACCAAACAGATACTATGAAAAACTTTCTCAAATGAAACAATTAAAATACCAGATAAAACAAAAATTAAAAGAGTAGGTTAGACAGATAAATATAACCACAGTGTTGACATGAAGAAAAAAAAAAAAAGAAATCCATATGGCCAAGTACAAAGGACCCTGGGAGCTAAGCATAGGCTAAAACGAACTTTTGCCCTGAGAGTTTTTCGAAACCTGGAAACCTTGGGTTTCTAACTTATGTACTGGCACAGGTGCTGAAGGCAAGAAAATAAGCCAACAGGCCACATATGATAGTTCTCTAATAGGAAACCCCCACATAAAGCGGGGAGCTCTACAAGGTGAACACCTATCATTGTTCAGGGTGAACAGAAAATAAACCCACCACACAAAAATGGACAGTCAGGGATTTTTCTGTCTCAGTTTTAGCTCCAGGTAAAGAAGCAGGATCCCCACCCCTGCCTACACCCCAAGAATTTATAACCATAAACAGGCCCTCATACAGGGCTCTGTGTCGCTCTGAAATCCTCAAGCAGTGACCTTAATTAAAAGTGGTAACCAGGTGGTAATGTTCCTGGGCAACTAGCTGAAGCAAACCTTAGTTTTCTCTGAAGCAATATAAACTCAATCAAGGCTCAAAGAATTCCTACAGATAAAGCTCCAAGGAAGAATGCAGCTTGAGAGATGTATGACTAAATAAGCTAGACAGGTTAAGAGGTGTGGAAAAATAGAATCAAAGGTCTAGTATATATCTAGTTGGAGTTCCAGAAAGAGATAAGCAGAAGAATGAGGAAGAGTAAATATTTCCAGAGATAATGGCTACAAACTTTTTTTTTTTTTTTTTAAACAGTCTCGCTCTGTTGCCCAGGCTGGAGTGCAGTGGCACAATCTCGACTCACTGTAGCCTCCGCCTCCCGGGTTCAAGCGATTCTTCTGCCTCAGCCTCCAGAGTAGCTGGGACTACAGGCGCACGTCACCATGCCCAGCTAGTTTTTGCATTTTTAGTAGAGACAGGAGTGTCACCATATTGGTCAGGCTGGTCTCAAACTCCTGACCTGGTGATCCGCCCGCCTCGGCCTCCCAAAGGAAGCAACAGAGATCAGACCTGTAACAGGGGGATCCCCCCAAATAACCGGCCGCCCAGCAGATGAAAACGGGTAGGTCGTTTGCCCACTCGGATAACAGACAAGTGTAGTGGGCCCTCAGCCAGGACTACAGGGACAAGAGAAGTCTAGCCTCTGTGAACTTTCAAAACCAGGGCTCTCATTCCATAACAGGGCCTCACAGCAATGAGAAACTGTGGGAGTGAAATAAAAACCGCACAGAATAGAGACGAAGGAAAGAGAAGGGCCACAAGAAACTTGGGAAAACAGAGTCAAGAAATCTCAGAAAACTATTTTAACACTGTACACAATACAACGGGGAGCTCTGTAAAATTAGAAAAAACATTTACATTAATAGATGGACAATTTCACAGGAGCAGTCAACTGGAGCTCTTTGAGAAAAACAAATAGGATGGTGACGGAGTTTAAAGTCATGCCACATGAGGAATCATTTAATGAAATTGGTGTGGTTATGCTTGGAAAATAAGCTAGATAAAATTAGGATTAAATTTATTTGTGTAGCAAACAGAGAGGCCATACCAAGTAGAAATTTCAAGGAGACGATTTCAACTTCAGTAAAGGAAGAATTCTGTAAAAATATAATTGATCAAGAAATGCAACATGTTACTCAGGGAGTGGAAGCTGCTGATGACTAAAGGTATTTAAGCAGAGGTTAGATTCTCACTGATCAGAACCACTAGCATTTATTGATCAATGGCCGTGCATTGAGTGCTAATATATGCATTTGACCTGTATTAACTTAGTTAATACTTACAACACCCTTTGAAGTGCATTATCCATATGCCATCCTCATGAACTCATTAAGATAACCTGGGAGTGTTAAGACCAGGCTTCCAATTAACCTCTGCAATTCATTAGCTTCTGTGACATTAGTCTGGGAACTTAAATGTCTAGAATCAGTTTCTAAACCTGTAAAATAAGGGGATTAGATAAAATTACCTCTAAACCCTTCCAGATGAAGAGTCTTTGTATGCTTCATAATTCTGAAACCTAGAAGAGCAGTTTCCACACCTTTTGGTCTTAGAACCTCCTTTACACTCTTAAAAATTATGAAGGACTCCCAAAAGTGTTTTGTTATGTGAGTTCTATCTGTTGAGACTTACTGTATTAGAAATCAAAACTAACAAACTTTTAAAACATAAGTATAATTGCATTAACTATCAGAGGAACATCATCCCAAGTTGTATAATCAAATACACTTGGAAAAGAATGACAACAAAAAAGCCATTAACTTCTTAACATGTATTGTGAAAACAGGTCTGACCTTTCAGACCTCCTGCAAAAGGTTCAGCAACCAGTGGTCCCCAGACCAAATTTTAAGGACCATCGACCCTATTCCTGACCTTTGAGAGGTTAGAGAATGATTTTCTTGCCACCTAAAAAGAGTTGAAGCTACACCCTTTCCCATGGAACCTTGGGTATGTTTTTGGTTTGGAAGATAATTATTCTAATCTTGTAGGAAGTACCCAAAATGAGTCAAGATTTGAATTAGGTAACCCTAATGACTGCTGGTCTCGTTTCTACTGACACCATACTAAACTCATGACAAAGCAGCCTACTGGTGTGGTTATGCTTGGAAAATAAGGTAACATTAGGATTAAATTTCACTTGTGAGGCAAACAGAGAGGCCATACCAAGCAGAAATTTCAAGGAGAAGATTTCAACTTCAGTAAAGGATTTTATAAATATAAAATTCAACCGGGAGCTTTTTCCTAGTCTAATTTTATACTTACAAAATTTTTTATTTCTAATAAATATTCTTTATTCTTATCTAAAACCATTAGCTCACCTGGAGCCAAGAATGGTTTATCTTTGACCACAATACTGTGTATTTCCACTGTCCTGGGACTGGAATTCAGAAAGAGAGATTCAAGGGACTACTTTTATCAGATGGATTGTGCCTGCGAGGCAGCGTAGCACAGGTTCTGAACCTCATTTCTTCATCTGTTATATAGCATCTATATCATAGGTTTGCTGTAACAATGAAATCACAATTCATAGGTAAAACATTTAACAAGGCTTAGTACAAAATAAGATTCAATAAGAGTTAATAACAGTTATTCTGGAGTTGTGTTGAGAATTGGTAAGGAAGCAAGATGAAATATATTCAAACAAAGCTGAATATATTCTTTGGGTCAGAGTCCACGGGATTTGATTTTGTTGTTTTGCCTAAAATCTTACCAATTCAGATCGTCAAAATATTTATAATCAAATGTAAGTATAGATTGTACTTAACAGATTCACACATAGCTTTCAGAACACTTTGGCCGGGCTCATGCCTGTAATCCCAGCACTTTGGGAGGCCAAGGCGGGTGGATCACCTGAGGTAGGGAGTTTGAGACCAGCCTAACCAACATGGAGAAACTCCGTCTCTACTAAAAATACAAAAATTAGCTGGGCATGGTGACACATGCCTATAATCCCAGCTACTTGGGAGGCCGAGGCAGGAGAATCACTTGAACCTGGGAGGCGGAGGTTGTGTTGAGCCGAGATCGGGTCATTGCACTCCAGCATGGGCAACAAGAGCGAAACTCCATCTCAAAAAAAAGAGAACACTTTAGAAAGCAAGAACAATCAAACTGTGTACGTGAGTTTTTGGGCGTGGGGAAGAAGTGAGGTGCTGGTACAAATTACCAAGACCCTTTAGTCCTGAAGCAGTCTAGACAAAACACTTTAATCAAATCTCATTTGATTTCTTTTACTTTGTTAGGGGGAAGTTGGGTGGTGGGGGGCGGCGGGGGAGGAGAGGGGAGAAGGCTCATGACCCTGATGATTGAAGGAAAAGCAATGTGTAGGAGGTCTGAGAAAGAGAGAGTTGTAGTTATCTCAACAAGGGTCTTTTTATATAAAAAGAGATAGTCATAATGGCATCACGTCACTGTCACCTGTACCTTGTTTTCTCTTGATACAGCAAGATACTAAGTATGCTGGAAGCCATGCTGGAAGACAGCTTGGCTTAGTGGAAGGAGCAGAAATTTTGGCTCAGACATATCTGAGTTTCAAACTTGGTAGTGAATCTTACTAACTATAAATCTTTGGGCAAGCAACCTTAATCCAAGCCTGTTTCCTATTTTGTAAACCAGGAATAATGATTTCAGAGTTCGGGATTAAATGAATATGCAGTCACTAATATATTGTTGGTATGTAGTAGGCATTCTGTAAATGTTTGCTGATTAAATGAATGCAGTGGAATCATCTTTACTAATGTGAATACATAACTGGCTTCATACCTACAAGATTTTCTGCTAATATTTTAGTTCTGTATCTTGAGTAGCTAAATTGGTGTTGTAGAAAAAAGAAGGCATATTTTATGGCTTTGTTGTTGTTGTTGTTGTTGTTATTGAATGAGTACTCTAATTTTGCCTGTGCAAGAGGAATAACTTCAGAATGACAAGGAAATCCAGAAAACCAGAATGAAGGAAACCTTTTCAGAAACTTGAAGATCTAAGAAATATCCCTTCAACAAATCTGAAATCAGTGCTTTTGAAGAACAGTGACCATGGTTACTATCTTCCTAGTTCTCTGAACGGCTGAGTTTAGTGGTAAAATCCTGAAGCAGTCCTCATTGTAATAAGAAATTCAAGTTGTGGCCAACCAACAATGCTTTCTCTTAGTTTTAGGTTAAATGTACAACACAGCATTATTTGTATTGAAAGTGAGGGTGTTTTGAAGTTTGAGAATGTCAGCTACTGCCTTGTTAGGTGTGTCCAGAAATACTGTTCTATAACCTGAAAAACTTTTTAAATTTCTTGTGTGAAAAATTACAGATTACATAAGATATTGTTTACTGATTTATCCACTATGATAGTATAGCTTTATTTGTACATACAGAAGGTCTTTATAAGAAAATCATGATATTTCTTACCATTAAAAAAAAAAAAGTTCTGTCTGTACTAAAAAAAGAAAGAAAAAAGAACAGTTTTAAGTGGGTTATAATGTTACTTGGTGTTAGAATTAATGTTGTAGATATCTGTAGTTTTTTGGATTTTGTCAGTGGTGGTGGTGGTGGTAGGTTTGGCTTTTTCAGTCACAGTATTGACAGATAAGAACATTAGAGGGAAGAAACCAGGGTAGAATGAAGTTCATTTTGACTGGTTTCTATTTTAGTTATGTA
Organism: Homo sapiens; assembly: GCF_000001405.40. NCBI lineage: Eukaryota > Metazoa > Chordata > Mammalia > Primates > Hominidae > Homo > Homo sapiens. The sequence goes on from NC_000004.12 coordinate 152,430,765, forward strand.
ACTTTCAGAAATTTTCTTATCTATATATCTTGCAAAGGTCTAACTAAGATGGATATTCTTCTGACAATCTTTAAAATTAATATGTTTACAGCAACTACATTATATTTATTTTTGGATTCAGGGTATATACCTTTGGTCAGTATTGTATCCCCAGTGCCTGACATATATTTCTCTTTTCCAATTCAAATACACATTTTTGAAACCACACTGTGTGCAGTACAATCAAACAGTACCTCCTTCAATATATCCACCCAGTCTTCCTGCCAAGAATTTGAAAAGGAAAATGGAACGAGTGTTTCTGAGAGTCTATCTGTCAATAGCGATTGCCAGGCATATTCATCTAACTGTGGTAATTGTTTGCCTTAGAGAGCAAGAAAAGAAATCTAGACAGGAGTTTCTGAAATGGGAAGGAGACGAAATAAAAGCAGTGTGGATATACCTGAGTTTTAACTGCATTCTGTCAAAAGACAAAATTACAACAGTTTAGTTACAGATCTAACTGGCATTTATTTGCATTTCATGAATCAGGGCAGCCCCCATTCTGCAAGGTAGAATGAGAGGTCCTACTGAGCAACAGCACAACAGTGGGTTTTGTAAGGTGGGAACAAGGAAACAGAACAGGAAAAAAAAGCTGATTTGTTAATATCAGGTTACTTCAGTTTACTTTTTCTAAGGGTTTAAAGCACAGGGGATTCAGCTAGACTGGAATCTCCTGTTCTCAGGGAAAAAAATGGTCTGCTTTGGGATCTGTCTGCTTCCTGGAAGTTTCTATTTGATTATGTGGCAGTTAACATGAATGACTACATTTTAGTTTGATCTGGTCCACTGGGGCCTAGGGCAGGAGCACAGTCCAAAACAATGGTGTCCCATAATTTTTACTGAACAATACTTACCAAATGAAACCTCCCAGGAACCCAGAGAAGAGAGTATCAAGCAGTAGTAAATGAAATTAAAATGCCTAATTTAAAAAGTAATAACAAGAGGACATTTTTTTCTCCTTGTGGTTCATATTTAATAATTGCCATGCCAAAATTATGATTACTAAGATGGGAATCCTACCTTAAAAAACAGACTCACTAGTTTTATACAGTGGTGGGCTTATTCTAAAGCTCAAAACCCTCTTCTAAAATGATTGTGAGGCAGAGTGGAGTCCACAGCTAAAAGGATTTGAATCAGTACTTGCTACTCTTCAGAGTCTCATTGTGATTGTGTAGAGGCTCCCTGTAAAGATGCTGAGTTATTTCTGAAATTTGGCAGATTCTGGTTTTCTCTGGTTCTGTAGTCATTGGCTGTTTAGGGTAGTGGTCTCAAATGTGCTTCCTTCTAGTATAGCTACTTATTTGGTCCTATCATATTCTTCGGTCACAATTCTCTCTACCTCCTAGAGAATGTTTCACCGTGAACTATGTGCTGACTTGGAATACCAAGAGTTGTGAACTCTAGGAAAACTGTCACCTTGCCTGTTGAAATGGAAAAAAATCAGTATTCTAGGCCTCTGTCCTAGCTTTCTAACGTGAGCATACCTGATATTAGAACAGGGAAGTCCCAACCAAGAAGAGCAAAGAAAAGAAGACAAGAGCATTCTTCAACATGGAACAGACTCACAGTAGGAGAGTTACAGACAGAGATGTTTTTAATTTGCCTTCAATTAATATGTAATTTAATTGAGGTACTTTTTATATAAAGTAGAAAGCGCAGTGAGTTTTGAAAAACATATATATCTATATATACAACACCTTAATCAAGACACAGAATATTTCAGCCAGGTGCGGTGGCTCATGCCTGCAATCCCAGCACTTTGGGGGGCCAAGGCAGGTGGATCATTTGAGGTCAGGAGTTCAAGACCAGCCTGACCAACATAGTGAACCCCCATCTCTACTAAAAACACAAAAAAAAAATTAGCCGGGTATGGCGGCACAAGCCTGCAGTCCCAGCTACTAAAGAGGCTGAGGCAGGAGAATCACTTGAACCTGGGAGGCACAGGTTGCAGTGAGACGAGATCGCGACACTGCACTCCAGCCTGGGAAACAGAGCGAGACACTGTCTCAAAAAGAAAAAGGTATTGAATATTTTCATCACTCCATAAAGTTCCCTCTTTTCTCATGTCCCATTCCCATTCTAATCACTCCTTAGCACATTTAGATAACTACTGTTCCATCAGTGCAGATTAGTTTTGTGGATTTTGAAACATCATTTTTATATGATGTTTATATGACTCATGCTGCATTACTTTTGTTGTCTTTTTCCTTAATTCAGCATACTGTTTTTGATATTCGTGTTGTCGCATGTATCAGAAATCCATTCTTTTCTGTCCCTGTGTACTTTCTATTGTATGAATATACCTCAATTTATTTATCACTTCTCTTGATGAATGTTGGGGAGTTGTTTTCAGTTTTTGGTCATTCTGAATAAAGCTGCTATAAGCATTCTTGTGCCAGCCTATTTGTGGACATTTCTCCTGGGTAAATAACTAGGAGTGCTTGCTCATAGGGTGAGTGTTTTTTCTAAGAAACTGTCAATTAGTTTTCCACAGGAATGGTACCATTTTACACTTCCACCAGCCATGTAAGAGAGTTTCAGCTGCTTCCTATTTTCACCAACATTCAGTGGTGACTGACTTCTTTTAATTTTAGCTATTCTTGTGGATGGAAAGTAGTATGGCATTGTGGTTTTAATCTGCATCTCCATGGTGGCTAATATTATTGAGGACTTCTTCATGTATTAACCCTTCTCATATCTTCTTTAGTCAACTGTTTTTTCCACCACTTTTTCACTCAATTAAAATTTGCATTAAAAATGAACAAATAAATAAATCAATGACTCCTGTGATTGTTTGCCCTTTCTCAGACAGATTTTAGCTTCCATATGCAAACACTGAAGTCATGGTGACTGTTGCGCTCTACCTAAAAAGAAGGAATCTATGTGCTCTCAGTCACAGGATTTTTTCCAGTAGTCTTCAGTCTTGAACTTCAGCAAACAGAAATATCCATAACAATTTAAAATGGACACTTACATTTTCATGTTTAAAAATCTATATTCACTATGCTTTCTAGTTCACAATCTGAAAAAAAAATGATTGACTATTTTCTAGGAAATGGAAAAATTATTCCACGCATCTTACATGTATTTGTTGGTTAATGCTTTTAGAAACTATAGGAAGTAACAGAATACAGTTGTCCCTCAAACAACATGAGTTTGAACAGCACAGGTGCACTTATACGTGGATTTTTTTTCAATAAATACAGTCAGCTCTCCATATCCACATATCAAAAGTATTCTCCACATTAATGGGATATAGAAACCCAAGTATACAGAGGACCAACTTTGCATATATGTTGGTTCTGCAGGACTAGTATACCTAGATTTTGGTGTGAGGGTCCTGGAACCAATCCCCTGCAGATACTGAGGGATGCCTATATATGGACAGTAAGTGTCGTACGGACAGCTGAGTTTCACTTCCTGAATGTGGAAAAGAACCTATTATTTATTGTCTGTGTATATACATGAGTATATCCTTGCATTTTAAAGCTCAGTACTATAATGCAAACTTGCTATGTGGTACCAATTAACATCAAAAAGAAGTAATAAAGTAGAAGTAGTTTTTGCTTTCTTCATGAAATTGGAAAGTGAGACGTGCAATAGCAAGCATGTTCACTTTTCTAGCCTTCTACTTCTTATAATGTATATAAAAAAGATAATATGTTCATCAAATCTGTCCTCTATGCCTTAGTTTACCCCCTGTCCTAATAATACTGCATTGCCTTCTTAGTCTCTATGTCCCCAACTTTCTCCTGAATGTTCCACCACTATTTACTGACTTTTTTATAAAGAGAAAAGAGAGGTTCTTGTATCAAGACCTATGCCATTCAATTTCCATAGTTCCTTGACAAGGATATACAGAAGGGAGAGGGAAGGTGACTTCCTTACCAGCAGGGTAAGACAAAAATCGTTAAAGAGAAGAAAATATCATTTGCAAAGATACAGACATATGAGAGCATACAACATATTGAAATACAAATAGATCAATATTGTTGAGAAATATACAATTTCAGACAAACTGATGTGTATAGATAGAGGTTTGTATAATGTGCTTCAGAGTTTAGATTTTATCCTACAGAACAGTGGTTTTCAGAAGTTCTGTAGTCACTCAGGGGTTCCTAATTCTCTGTTCCCCCAACCTCCTTTCCCCCCGCTCCCCCCCCCCCACACACAAGCTCTTCCTTTACATGTTTAATATTCTGCCTTCATTTGAGCAATGGGTTCAGCATGCAAAAGGTTTGGAAACTACTAACGAGAGGCCTGGGGAGGGGAGGGGAGGGGAGGGGAGGGGAGGGGAGGGGTTTCCAACATGATGCACCATCCCCTACCAAACACGTAAGTATGCATTTCTTATAAAAAGGACATACTTCTTCATAATCACAATATAAATGTTAAAGTAAGGAAAATGGCACTGACATATCAGACTGTCTATTCCTCAGAACCCATTTGAGTTTTGTATCTGAAATACTTCCTTGATCCTTTCTTTATTTTCATTCCTTTAACAACTTTGAAAGATTATAAGCCATTCATTTTGTATAACGGCCCTTAATTTTGGTTTGTCTAATTTTGGATTCACATTATGCATCGCAGGCAGGAATATGACGGAAGTGATACTATGTTTCTCTCATTGCTTTGTATTATCAGGTAGGCATATTTCCAGTTCATCCCATTATTGATCTTCACTTTCAACCTTTCTCAATCTTTCTACACTGGAGGCACACTTAAAATAATTTTCAGATCTCAGGAACCCCTGCATTAAAATGGTTGTATCTACAACTCACACTACATTAGCTTGATTAGCAAGTTGTAGATATAATAATTCAATGATACTTGTCAGTGCTCTTCTGAGTAGACGATTTTTTTTCTGCGGGTTTGTTTTACAGGCATACCTCATTTTACTGGACTGCAGTTTACTGCACTTCACAAATAGTATATTTTTTTAAAAATTGGAAGTTTGTGGCAATCCTATGTTGAGCAAGTCTATCAGCACAATTTTTTCAAAAGCATGTGGTAACTTCATGTCTCTGTATCACATTTTGGTAATTCTTGCAGTATTTCAAACTTTTTCATTATTATTGTATCTATTATGATGATCAATGATCAGTGATCTTTCATGTTACTACTGTAATTGTTTTGGGGTGCCACAAACCGCACCCATGGAAGACGGCAAAAATGTTGTGTATTCTGACTACTACACCAACCAGCCATTCCCCCATCTTTGTCCCTCTCCTTAGGCCTCCCTATCCCCTAAGACAAAACAATATTAAAATTAGGCCAATTAATAATCCTAAAATGGCCTCTAAGCATTCAGGCAAAAAGGAAGAGTCTCACTTTAAATCAAAAGCTAGAAATGCAAAAGAAAAGTTCTTGAAGGAAATTAAAAGTGCTACTCCAGTGAACACATAAATGATAAGAAAGTGAAATAGCCTTATTGTTGATATGGAAAAAGTTTTGAGTGATCTGAATAAAAGGTCAAATCAACCATAACATTTCCTTAGACCAAAGCTTTATCCAGAGCAAGGCCCTAACTCACTTCAATTCTATGAAGGCTGAGAGAGGTGAGAAAGCTTCAGAAGAAAAGCTGGAAGCTAGCAGAGGTTGGTTCACGGGCTTAAAAAAAGAAGCTGTCTTGATAACATATAAGTACAAGGTAAAGCAGCAAATGCTGATGCAGAAGCTGCAGCAAGTTACCTAAAAGGTCTAGCTAACTAAGATCACTGACGAAGGTGGCTACACTAAACAACAGATTTTCACTGTAGATGAAACAGCCCCCTGCTGGAAGATGCCATCCATGACTCTTCTAGCTGGACAGGTGAAGTCAATACCTGCCTTCCAAACTAAAGGACAGGCTGACTCTCTTGTTAGGGGCTGATGCTGCTGTTGACTTTAGGTAGAACAGTGCTCATTTACCATTCCAAAAACTGTAGAGCTCTTAAGAATTAGGCTAAATATACTCTCCCTGTGCTCTACAAATGGAATAACAGAGCCTAGATGGCAGCACATCCATTTATTGCAAGACTTTACTAGACATTTTAAGCCCACTGTTGAGACCTACTGCTCAGAATGAAAGATTCCTTTCAAATATTACTCATTGCTCAATGACAACGAACCTGGTCACCCAAGAGCTCTGATGGAGATGTACATGGAGATTCATGTTGTTTTCATGCCTAATAATACAATACCCATTCTGCAGCCCATTAATCAAGGGTCATTTCTACTTTCCAGTCTTGTTTTAGAAATACATTAGCTGTTTTATATATATACATAGTGAATCCTCTGATGGATCTGGGCAAAGTAAATTGAAAACCTTTTGAGAAGGATAACTGCACTCCAGATACCATTAAGAATATCTGTGTTTCACAGAAGGAGGTCAAAATATCAACATCAACAGGAGTTTGGAAGAAGTTGATTCCAACCCTCGTGGATGACTTTGAGGGGTTCAAGACTTCAGTGGAGGGCTACTCAGGAGGCTGAGGCAGAAGAATCACTTGAACCCGGCAGGCGCAAGTTGCAGTGAGCTGACTGAGATCGTGCCACTGCACTCCAGCCTGGGAGACAGAGCCAGACTCCATCTCAAAAAAAAAAAAAATTCAGTGGCGGAAGTCACTGCAGGCGCGTAGAAATAGCAAGAGAACTAGAATTAGAACTGGAGTTTGACAATGTGACTAAACTGTTGCAATCTCATAATAAAACTTGAATGGATAAGGTGTTGTTTCTTCTGAATGAGCAAGGAAAGTAGTTTCCTGAGACAAAGTTAAACAATTTAGAATACTGCATACACTTAATTGATAAACCAGCGGCAGGATTTGAAAGGATTGCCTCCAGTTTTGAAAGAAGTTCTACTCTGCATAAAATGCTATCAAACAGCATCACACGCTACAGAGAAATCGTTCATGACAGGAAGAGTCAATCAATGCAGCAAACTTCATTGTTATTTTAAGAAACTGACACAGCCATTCCAACCCTCAGCAACATCACTCTATCAGTCAGCAGCCATCAACACTGAGGCAAGACTACAGCAGTAAAATGATCGTGACTCCCTGAAGGCTCAGGTGATTGTTAGCATTTTTTAGCAATCAAGTATTTTTTAGCCAGGCGCGATGGCTCACGCTTGTAATCTCAGCACTTTGGGAGGCAGAGGTGGGCAGATCACTTGAGGTCAGGAGTTCAAGACCAGCCTGGCCAACATGGTGAAACCCGGTCTCTACTAAAAATATAAAATTAGCCGGGTGTGGTGGCGGGTGCCTGTAATCCCAGCTACTTGGAAGGCAGAGGCAAGAGAATCGCTTGAACCTGAGAGGCGGAGGTTACAGCGAGCCAATACCATACCACTGCACTCCAGCCTGGGCAACAGAGCAAGACTGTCTCAATAAATAAATAAATAGTAAAGTATTTTTTAGTTAAGGTATGCACACTTTTTAGACAGAATGCTATTGCATACTTAATAGGCTACAATGCCATGTAAATATAACTTTATATGCACTGGGGAAACAATAAATTCTTGTGACTAACTTTATTATGATATTTGCTTAATTGTAGTGGTCTAGAACCAAATCCATGGTATCTTCAAAGTATTAATTCTAACAAAAAGTGGCCAGGCACGGTGGCTCATGCCTGTAATCTCAGCACTTTGGGAGGCCAAGCCAGGTGGATCACTTGAGGTCAGGAGTTCGAGACCAACTTGGCCAACATGGTGAAACACTGTCTCTACTAAAAACATAAAAATTAGCCAGGAGTGGCACACACCTGTAATCTCAGCTACTCAGGAGGCTGAGGAACGAGAATCACTTGAACCCCAGAGGCAAAAGTTGCAGTGAGCCGAGATTACATCACTGCACTCGAGCCTGGGTGACAGACTGAGACTCTGTCTCAAAAAAACAAAAACACTCTATTTTAAAACATAAAGCTATACAAGTAAAGTAAGGGACAAATGGTACTGGTAAACCTACTCCATCACCCAGTACTACCCTACCCACATGGGAGATGTGCGTGGACTTATTTAACAGCACAGAAAAAATATACAAACATGCACACCCACTGCTACTTCATGTCAATATAGTAGCAGCAATGATAAAACAATGGGACAACTACAGACAACAGTCTACTTTCCTATTAAGACATGTTCTTGTAGTGTACATTAGTTCATTCATTCATCATTTGGGCGATGAGGTCAGTATAATGTGAATGTCACTTTAGTCCAAAATTTTCCCCAGCATAGTAAAGTTTTAAAGCCAGCAGGGACAAGCTTTCTCACAAAGACAGAGCTTAAGCAATACATGATGACCTTAAGAAAAAAACTAGAAATCCAGAAGAGGGTAACCAGAGGCTAGTTAATGGCTTTAAACTGCTAGGCATTCCACAATGTTAAAACCATCTGGTCAAGCTGTGAGTACAGATAGAAAATCCATGACAATATTTTTCCCACGTTAATTTTTTTTTTTAAGGGGTGAGAGGCAACTGATAAAAACTACACCCTGGATCAGATTTACTAGTTTTCACAATTTCATCATAAGTAGAAATGAATGTTCTCGAGGACCTACATTTCAAAGGAGAAAGCATAAATCCTAGAACTTAGAACTAACTGGGGTAAATATTTAGCTATATAATATTTTTATTAGAATGGGTACTGGTTTCGTTACTACAGAGATTACAAGTTTACACAGGAACAAGCCACTCAGAAACCGATTTTCAGGGCCCGATTTTGCAGAGCTTCAGGTTTTCTTCAGAGACAACTATACTGTTATATAACAAAAGTAACTGCCTGTACTATGGTTATTTAAAGAAGTCCACGGTGGCTCAGGCCTGTAATCCCAGCACTTCGGGAGGCTGAGGCGGGCCGATCACGAGGTCAGGAGATTGAGACATCCTGGCTAACCCAGTGAAACCCCGTCTCTACTAAAAAATACAAAAAAATTAGCCAGGTGTGGTGGCAGGCACCTGTAGTCCCAGCTACTCAGGAGGCTGAGGCAGGAGAATGGTGTGAACCCAGGAGGTGGAGCTTGCAGTGAGCCAAGATCGTGCCACTGCACTCCAGCCTGGGTGACAGAGCAAGACTCCGTCACAAAAAAAAAAAAAAAAAAAAAGTCCAATGTCACCTCCTGCTTCATACAGACCTGGCTTTACTTCTTCCATATGTGCTGTTATGGGGTAAACCAATCTGCACTAAAAGATTAAATTTTATTGCTACTAAACACTTAAAAATTATTTTCAGTCAATCCAACATATTGCCCATTTTTGTTTTAAGAAATACTAATAAAAAGGACTGGAGTGAGATATTCAAAATGAGTCAAAATTAGGCAATAACAAATACAGACTGTAATAGCATAGGTAGAATATGTGGCCTCTTATGCCAAACTAAATTTAAATTCTGGTATATACTATGTCTTCTAAAAAAATTTTTTTTCAGTTTCTTAATTTTATAATAATGCCACAAGGAAGATGACAACCATTAGAATGACAAATTCTTCCTTTAGAAATAATCTCTTTAGCTTGCAGCACAACACCTTTGAAATTATTTTCTTTATGAAAATCTCAAAGTATTAAGGAGAAAGCAGTACATACTGTCCCTGGTTAGAGAGGATACATTTCTTCACTAAGCAGAACAATAACAATAACAAAAATTGACTTCAGCATTCAAATTTCTGTTGACAACATGTGTTTAAGATGATTCTATCACTTAGGAATGTCAAACTCTAACCAAAATTTAATTTTGGTAACACAAATTATTAAAAACTTAAAATATTTAAGTTTACCTGAAATTTTGTTTTACATCAAGGCATTTTTAAAACTTCTTATGATTTTCTGAAACAGGTATATCCTGAAATGTCAAATCACTAAAGTTATAAATACCAGTGGAGCACTCTTCAAAACTGGGAAGGGATATATGAGCTAACAAAAAAGGGGAGAAAATGGTACCTTGCACAGAACAAGTACACCCATCTAGTAAAGAGATGTAATCTAAGCATTCCCCATCCCACTCCCTGCTCCAAATCATGTCCTATATGCTTTATATAGAATGTCATTTGGACCCTGACTGTTCACACCACTTTCTATTCTCTCTACCAATTCAGGTTCAATACTGTAACATTCTGAAACACTGTTTCTCTTTCTTCATTGCTTAAGTTTATACGGTTTTTTTTTTTCAATAACGTTCACTAAGCGTCATGTCTCTTCTATGTAGAAATTTTAAGATGGAAGCGGCAATATATCTTTCTTATTGAAATAAAAACATTGATCAAGAACAATTTCCACTGTGATAAACAGAAAATACGTATCAAAATTACACAGACCTACCTACATAGAATGTATATTCAGCAACTCGAACTTATATGGCTAAGTATGTTCCTCTCCTTATTGAGATGACTGAAGCTTTCAGAGAGCTGTGTACCTATCAACTTGTGATATCTCAATCTCAAAGGTTTTGTTTCTTTACTCCTCCCTTCTTTGTCGCCTGTCTCTGAGAGGAAAAATGTAATCTCCATCATTTCTAAGACTATTAATACCATCAGTAGCTTTGATTTTCTCTACCCCTAAGCCTTTCAGAAATTTGCTCCATTAGTCACACGCCTCCTGCTTAAAGGTTCAATTTCTTTAATCTTAATCTTGTCTCTTTGTTAATATTCACCAGTATATGACACTGATTCTTTAATGTCAATATAAGACCAACATAAATGAGTGAAGTCTCATAAATAGGAAGAAAGTTGCCCCAATCCAACTATTCAGATTTTTAAAATAATAAAATTCAGTTTTCTTTTCAATTCACTCTTAATGAAGCTCTAATAATAAAATGGAAGTAAAGGAGGAAGCAACAATCAGTATCACAAAATACGCAAAGAGCCAAGACTATATGGCAATTATTTCCAATCTTTATTTTTGAATAACCAATGACTTGCTGGTTATGCCAAATTATATCTAAAAGTTAACCCAGGTCTGATTCTAAAAAATAAATTTTAAAAAGCTCTCTTTGGAGGATAGACTGCTATTACTTTCAACTAGTCATTTCCAAAATTTAGGAATTAATTTCCTATATAGAAGCAGAATATGTTACAAAACTTTGCTCCTATGCTCACTTTTCTTTTAAAAATTAAACCTGTTTCTTAAACATTATCTTTAAAAGGTTAACACGATTTTTATTCACTCTTAATCACACATTGTAGGGTAAAGAATAACATTTCACCATCCCTCCCAGAAAAAAGTAACCTCAATCGGAATTTTGATATTCTTCCTGTAAGTTTTGTGATCTTATACAAAATTCAAGACATTTCCAATCTTACTTCTAGGCACTAAAAGATATTGCTTATAATATATTAATCGTAACTATCATATAACTTCCCCTACTTATCAAAGCAATGTTGTTGCTCTGAGGTTTCCAACTTCTCATTTCCCACTCCACACAGCTTCCTCAGGGTATTATATGCTTTCTCGTAGCATCAACTACAATCTACAGTGGTGGTTCTCAAACTTCAGTAGAATTACAGATCACTCTGGAGGCAGGGGTTCTTGTATTAAAATGTAAATTCCTAGGCTGGTAGCAAAAACGAAATCTATGGCTCCTTCTAAATTCACCTCTTCCAAGATGGCTTCCCAAGTAACTCTTCACCACTACTCCCAAACATTATTAGTTTAAAAACTTTCTGTTCCAACAGGTTCTATTCCATACCTATGTTCTGAAATACCTTGTAACTATTTTGTTGTCTGTCTCTCTCATTAGGACTGTAAACTCCAAGGAAGTAATTTTTGGCTTCTCTGTTTTAGTATTTCCAGTGGTTTACACAAGAGGTTAGCTATTAGCAGGCGATCGTTAAATGCCAGTACACATGTACTGACCAGATTAAAGGACAGGTAACAAATAGTTGAATAAAAATCAGCAATAATGACTCATTATATACTTTGCTCTACACTTTGACAGTCTGAATTAGGAAGGCTTATACAACAGTTTTGTTTCCCAAGTTATGAACACTTAAAAGTTTCAGACAGACCAACAAGGACAGTATCAGGGATAAGAACATGGGTCTTTAAGTTAGACATTACTGAGGTAAAAACCTAGATCCACCACTTAATATGATCTCAGGAAAGCTTATAATAGTTTCAGTGCCTCCTCAACGCTAAAACAAAGCTCATATCTAATTAATACATTCTAGGTGAAGATTGAAAGAAGTAACATATTAAAGCACCCAAGGCCAGGCGCGGTGGCTCATGCCTGTAATCCCACCACTTTGGGAGGCCGAGGCAGGCGGATAACCTGAGGTTGGGAGTTCAAGACCAGCTTGACCAACACGGAGAAGCCCTGTCTCTACTAAAAATACAAAATTAGCCGGGCGTGGTGGTGCATGCCTGTAATCCCAGCTACTCGGGAGGCAGAGGCCGGAGTATCACTTGAACCCGGGAGGCGGAGGTTGTGGTGAGCCGAAATCGCACCATTGCACTCCAGCCTGGGCAACAAGAGTGAAACTCCTTCTCAAAAAAACAAAACAAAACAAAAAACATATTAAAGCACCCAAAACCTGGTGTATGGCAGATAACCAGAATATGGTAGCTGTTACTTTAATTAAGCTATTTCTTTAAAATTAAACGATTAAAGTGTATGAAAGTGGGAGAAACATTTTCCTTTCAAAAAAATACAGTAATATTTTAAAATAAATACACAAATTACTAATTTTAATCTACAGAGTTTTATCGATCAGTTAAATTACAATTAAAAATCAAAACCACACAGCCTAAAACAGGGCTTTGTGCTTAACGTGGCTACCCAACTGACTCCTGCATATAGTTGGCGGTCTTTTAAGAACCCAATTCTTTTTAAAAACTTTGAAAATTGATTTTTTTCTCTTCTTTTGAAAGACACTTTCTACTGCAGATTAAAATCCAATCAAAATTTGCTGGGTGGGTAGGTAAAGGCATATATGATCCATTTGCATAAACACACTCAATAATTAATACAAGAGTTAAGAATATTAGTATAAAGGGGTCCTTATACTAGCTTAAAGGATTTACAATCTTCTAAAAAATTTTAATGTTTTTCAGAGAAAGTTTGCAACTGTTCCCTGTTTTATTAATTTACTTTGTCCTATTTCAAAGGTTGAGTCTAAGGTATAGTAGAAAATTTGAAAACATAAGACATGTAAAGATGAAATATTTCAAATTATCCATAATATCATCATCCAGAGATAATCACTTTATAAATTTGCTGTATTTCCTTCCAGCTCCTTCTCTACAAAGCGTTCTCTACAAACATGTGCTTCTCTACAAACATGTGCTTCTCTACAAACATGTGCTTTAAAAATGGGTGCCATGTTAGGTTACACTACATGAAAATGCTGATATTCTACTACTCTTGACCTACAAAAACGGTAATTTCATATGATTTAACCTAAGACCATATGCACTATATGTACATATATGTATGACCATAATTTTATATTCTTCGAGACTTTACATTAAATCATGAGCACTTTCCTATGTCTTACAAAATCTTCCCCATATAACATTTTATGGCTGGATGGTTAGTCCAAACAAATGGATATAAAAAACAAACCATTTATCTGATGTTTGAAATTGAGTTGTTTCCAGTTTTTCACCATTATAGATGATAATGGTACGAACATCCTTGTGCCTAAGTCTTCCTGCGAATCTGAGTATCTCCTTAGGAATTATCTCTATAATTCCTAGAAGTAGGTTTTCTGAGTCAAAGTTTATGAATACTTTTAATCCTAAACAAGTTCCTAAAATGAGTACCACAAAAGAACCAATTTACATTTCACCATAAGTCAGAAGGATAATTTTACAAACCATCTATGGTTTGTAAACAAATTCTTAAAGGAAAAGCTGCAAGGCATAGAAACAAGGTAAAACAGGAAAACATTCTCAATATCATTGGTTGTAACAATTTGGTATAACCAAGAATCATGTGAGAGGCTTATTTAAAAACAAAGATCTCTGGATCCCATTCCGGTGATTCTTTCAATGTGCCCTGATGTAAACTGGTACTTTTAACCACCATCCAAAGTGATAGATACAAGTGATTCCTGAACCATACTTTCTTTGTTTGAGACAGGGTCTCACTCTGCTGTCCAGGCTGGACTGCAGTGGCACAATAATAGCTCAGCTCACTGCAGTCTCGACCTGCCAGACTCAGATGATCCTCCTACATGGCTGTGACTACAGGCACATGCCACCACACCTGGCTAATTTTCTTGTATTTTTTGTAGAGATGAGGTTTTGCCACGTGTCCCAGGCTGGTCTCAAACTTCTCGACTCAAGCGACCCATCTGCCTCTACCTCCCAAAGCGCTAGGATTACCAATGTGAGCCACCGTGCCCAGCCCTGAACCACACTTTGGAAAACATTACTCCAAATAGTACAAATATGCTTTATATGAATAATTTTTCCTACGAATTATTGCTGAGTAAGAGGTGAACAAATCATTTCTTATTCAAGACTAAAAAAATTAGGTAATCATTTATATTACATCTTCAGATGAAATTTGGCTTCATCTCTACACTCACAGCTTAATTGAAAGTACAAATACAAACTGAGTATCTCTTATCTGAAATGCTTGGAACCAGAAATGTTTCAGATTTGGGATTTTTAAAAAATATTTGCATTATACTTATCAGAAATTTCAAAATCCGAAGCGCTTCAATGAGCACTTCCTTTGAGCAGCAGGCTGATGCCTAAAGTTTTGACATTGGTTCTGCTATTTCCCAGTTGTGTGATTTTTAGGAGTTGTAGAACCTCTCTGAGCTTCAGTTCTCTCATCTTTAAAAATAATCATTAGAGTCTTTCTCATAAATGACATAATTAACATAGAAGTGCTTAGTACAGGCCAGGCACAGTGGCTCACACCTGTAATCCCAACACCTTGGGAGGCCAAGCGGGGCAGATCACTTGAGGCCAGGAGTTAGAGATCAGCCTGGGCAACATGGCAGAACCCCATCTCTATTAAACATACAAAAAAATTAGCTGGGTGTGGTGGCAGGTGCCTGTAATCCCAGCTACTTGGGAGGCTGAGGCAGGATAATCACTTGAACCTAGGAGGCAGAGGTTGCAGTGAGCCAAGATCGCGCCACTGTACTCCAACCTGGGTGACACAGCAAGACTCTGTCTTTAAAAAAAAAAAAAAAAAAAAAAAAAAAAAAAACCAAAGTGCTTAGTACAGCACTTGGTCCAAAGTAAGAGTTCAATCAATGAACCTACAAACCATTTTGCCTAGGCAACAAAGATGACTGCACAGCGCTTATCTAATAGGCCATACAGGAAGAAAGCACCAATAACATAATGGCCAACCTTCTTAAAACGTGTTTACTAAAAAATATCCTAGGTACTGAATAAACTCCCTAATGACATTATCTTTGTTAGAAAGTCTAGAAAAAATTGGCAGCACCAGATTTTAATCCCAGGTCTATTCTATTAACCACTAGGATAATTTCCAGAATTACTATCCTACTTAGGAAATATTGGATATCAAAGAGATAAAACAGTATTCTTAGCAAAAACATGTTACCCACCCACCCCCCCAAAAAAAGACATAAAAAGTGAAAGGAGAGGTTTTAACATCACCTACAACTTGATTCTTTAAGAAACTTCATCCTTCTTCCTAACTCTAACTTCTATAGCTTCAAGGTCAAGTATTCTAATACTTCCCACTGGTAAGGGTAAATTGAAATCTTTTTAATGGACATTTTAAGAGCATGTTTAAGGGACTTTAAAATGTTCATACATAATTTGATCAAGGTTATCAAATAGATTAATGGCAGAGCCAAATTAAATCCAACTCTTTTAATGCTCGATCCAGGGCTCTTTAGAAAAGGCAGCTCCACTGAGGCTAGAACTTCACGCTGCCCATTTATTTTACATAAAATACTGTCTAATCACAGACCAATCATAGTTATCTTTCTAACTTTTATAAAAAGTAGTCAACACTCTGGTGTTTACTTCCTCGTTTCCTATTTGCTGAACCCATCATGAAAAGAAGCTGTCATAGACGGCACTCCAGTAAAACATATCCATGATTAATTTGCTGGTGGCCCATCATTAAACA
The DNA here is from genome assembly GCF_000001405.40 of Homo sapiens. Lineage (NCBI taxonomy): Eukaryota > Metazoa > Chordata > Mammalia > Primates > Hominidae > Homo > Homo sapiens. Next base: position 152,446,843 of record NC_000004.12, read on the forward strand.
TTTTCAATATATATGAAATTCAGACACATCCTTGACCGAATCCTAAATGATATTAACATGCTTATGTTCATCAGTGTTCACAGAAGGGTTTTTTTCTTGGAAGTCAAGAGAGTCTATAAACTTTTTACCTGTTGAATAATAAAAGATTACAAATACTAGTGTTTAAATTATTTTCAATTTTCCATAATTAATGTTTAAAGTATCTGAATTAAAGGAAATGTGCAGACTAGCACAGATAATATTTTCAACTTTCTAGAAACACTAAGGCTTCAAACACTACAAGTGACTATTTGAGTACATCAAAAAGGAAAGTTCTCTTAACATGGTGATTTGAATACCACATGTGATGACAATTTTATGCCCCGTTTCTACTACAGTAAATTGTTAATCTTATTTAATTTTTGTAAATGTTTTTAGATGTGGTTGAGAGAAATGGTGTCTCTATCATGGCAAGAACAGAAACAGGGAATGATAAAGAATTCAGTATTTTTATGTGGTGGAGTCTGTATAAAACACTTTACATGAGGTAGAGGTATTGGTGAGGAAGGGAGTGGAAGAGAGTTTCTTTTCTAATCTAACACCATCAGCAAAACTTTTAAGTAATCAAAGTCTTTGACAGCATCTGAGTTTCTATGACAGTAGTTCTATTTTACAGTTAGCAATATTCCTACACTTCTATATTTGAACCAATTATTTGTTTAAAAGGCATAGAAAAGGAAAACAAAAATTATTTTAAAATAATCACTTTGAAATTTATAATACTTGATATTAGATTTTTAATTTGCTATATCCTTAAACACTACTTTAAAATAGCTTTATATATCCTCATCAGTATCCCTTAGAAGTAATACAACTCATATTTCCTAAATGGTGCCTTACCCATGAAACCACTAAGAAAGTAAAAGACCAAAAAAGGATGCAAAACAACTGCAGTACAACTCAAGAGATCAAGAACCTTACCATCATTCTAATTACAGCTAGAGTCTGAAGCTAATGAAATCTACGAATGTGAGGAATATTCCACTTCATTTAGATAACACAGCATAGTTACCAATAACTCTCATATTTTAGAGATATGCTCTCATGGTCAATACCAGAATATGTTGATATTTAGCTAGGAATATGGAGCAGAAAGACTATGAATTGATGAATGAAATAATATATAATCTCTAAAATTTCATGAAGGCATACAACTTAACCATAAAGTTACTGAGGCTACTCACAAAACTTGAAACGAAGAAAACAAGAAAGAAAAACTAATCTAATCTTTAAAATAAGTGCTGCTGCTTTAAGTGGCCGGCAGTCTCACATAAACTCCAGGCTGAAATCACAACATCCATTAGAGTGCTCCACAGCTCAGAGCAAGCAAGCAAGTGGTTGTCAGTGCAGCTAGTAAATCACCTGATCCTATTACAAAATCAATTACTGCAGTGCATTTCCATTGCTACACAATCTGATGATGACAAAATGATATTGGATATCTACTGCAAGGTCAAGAAAACTGCTAAGAACATCTTTAATTGGTCTTTTATTTTTAATCATTTGGTCTTAGTCATAATGCATCCATTTTCATTGCATATTTTTATTTGAAATAAATCTATGTAGTTACCTTTGGTTGCCTGGGACATTCGATGGATAATCTCTGCAACTGGTCTGATGTATGGCTACAAGAGAACAAATCGGAGCAGCAGGTCGAACGGCTCAACCTCTTCATTAAAGAAGAAATAATGCTGCAGCCACAGCCACACATTGACTTGCTCATTAGATGAGAATTTGACTTAAAAAATCAGAACTGGTGATGTCACATATATACTCAAAATTGTCAAACTGCCTCATTCTGCAGCTCTCTGGCTGAAAGAAACACTACTAAAAAAGAATAAAACAACAGCTTTGCTACAGAAGATGCCAGCCACAAACTCATCGCCAAGAAAAACTGGATATTAAAACAGAAGTCTCCCAGCTACTCTTTAGAAAGAAGGTAAGGTGCTTTAATATTTTAAATTGTTTTATATTAAAGCCCAAGTACTTAACAAAGGAGCAAACTCAAGACACCCCAAAATTATACTAACCACTTTCTGTCTTCCATCAGTTTAGATCTGTTTGCCTACTCCTTCAGCTCAGCCTATCCAACCTGTTCCCTCTGTAAATGCACACGATTTCAACAACCAACAGGAATGAGCTCCACCCCTCCCCGTCTCCACACACACTGTTCAAGAACCGTTTAATATCTGGAAAAGAACTGCTGCTGCATTGCTTTGAGAAACAACAGGGAGCAAATTACTGGATGGATTCTTTAACTTACCAATCAGAACTGCTGACCTTTTATGACTCTACAATTCAAGAAGCCTGCCAAATACTCACAGTAAGAATAATCAACAAATTTTACTTCTATACTATAGATTAATTTACAGAATTGTTTTCAATCTTATTATTCAATCTACAATACAAAAATATAGGCCTAAGTATTTTTTAAATAAACAAAATGTAGACAGTAGCTAATACAAATCTTTGAGGACTGATGGAAGAGGGTAGGAGGGTAACTGAATAAAATATACAAGCAAAAATTCCCTCTGGATACTTTATGTAGACTTGAGAAGTAATGAACAATAAAAATCTATAGCAAAAATACTGGTGCAGATAATGATGTAATAAACAAGCTGGATAATCCAAGGAGGCTCCTGCTATCATAAATGTTAGAAGAGTTTTAATGAGAAAAAAGGACATATGGCTATATAGGTAGGTACTGACCACAAGTAAAAAGCCATCAAAAACCTCATTGTTTTGATACTGAATTTTCTCCCACTTACTTGTCTGCATTTTATTTAAAAGATTATTTTAAAAACCACAAACCACCCTGAAAACATAAGCAACAATATTAAGTATGCTAGCTATACTATACCTTTTATACTTAAGCATTCTACCTTTGCCAATAATGCACAAAGGTATTTGTTTATACAATGTAATTAATCCACATTACAATTTCCAGGACAAGGGAGGGTCGCATTAATACAAATACTTTATAGTCTTCACAAATAATCATACTTCAAATTACTGTAACTTAAATGAACATTCATAGACCAATGATTGCTAATGTAAGAGCACCCTTTTTGGGGAAGATAGTCTAAAACTAAATAATAAACACCTTGAATTAAAATACGTATTTTAAAACTTCCCATTGTCTGTGACACTGAAAGGTTTCTTCTTTGTGTATGTAACATGCTCAATTTCTTCCCTGGTTTAAAGCTAAAAAGATCCAGCACTGCCTCTGCCTTCACCTTGCACTGCCCTTTTGATATTCATGTTATACTTAAATCAATTTCCAGAATATCTAAAAACAGGCATGCACTTCACATTCAATTTTTTAAAAATCCTTTGGTAGATAAAGGCTATGGTAACAAACAAGAAAAATAATGCAGTAACCTTTTACTCGCCTGCTGGAGGTACTGTCTGCTGCACAGAATTTTAAATCCTCATCTGCAGATGCAATTGAACTGGGTATTGCCAAGAACTCTGCTTTTCCTGTGCTGCTGCTACACAGCTATTCATCGAAAGAGCACATTATGTAGAATCTGAAGTACTATCAAATCTGAAGTTTAAGTTTCTTAAATGAGCAAAAGAACTTCTAAAATCTAGCTATACCCCTGCTCTGTCACACTTTCAGATGCATGCCAGCCACGTTAGCGAAAAATGTCCTAGTGCTGCTATGTACTCCTAGCAAATGGGTAAGCTAGGGAAGCTAAGAGTAGTAATGAAAAAATTAATACCACATACTAATGTAAAAACAAGTACCAGGCATTAAAACCTGGTAGGATTTGTGTTGCCAAAAAATGTATAACCTGTCCATAACAATTTGATATTTGTATTAGTTTTCTAATTAAAAGCCTATAAATAAATCATGTGTCTAATATTACCAACAAGCATCAATTAAAAATCCCTGCCATACTGCTATTAATGAAAGTTATCTTACTAGCTATTCAGTCTGCATCACTATTGTTTCTAAAGAAAACTATGAAATAAAAGATTCAAAGGTATAGAATACTTGTGAAATAGCTTGACTTGCAATGTTCCTTCCTCCTCGTCCCCCACACCAATATCCCTTGGATCTTATATTAATTATAACTTAGAGTATAAGCAATATGACGTATTTTCATTATTTATCATTTTCCTTCCACATCAGCTAATTTGATGTATAGTATTGTTGATTCTTAGGTTGCAGATAGATGGAGCTGGAAGGCAAACCAACAAAGATAAGGTTTAAAAATTAGAAGAAAAAGAAGCATAATATTGTTTATGAAAAAGTTTATAATTAACTTTGTCTAGGTACAGATACGTTTTCAAAGAGGAAAGAACATTAATACTTGCTCACTAACAACAATTAAGGATCTTGAGTATTTCTTCAATTAACTAATGCATTTTAAAGTTGCTTTCCCCTTTAATTGCAAGTAACTGTCAAAACTTGTTTTAAAAATATTTAACAATCCATTTCTATCAAATGATTTTCATTTCCTTAAGATACAAGGTGATCACTTCTCTTAAATGGTAGTCTAAAAGATGTGAAATCTACAAACACAACCCTGAACAAGAGACATCCTTCCTCAATGCTCAAATTTATTTGCATAAATAAGCATAAGCTAATTTTTATAGTTCCCCTAAAGGTAAAAATGTATCAAATAAGAATCCGGCTCCCAGAACTCTGGGATGCTGAGTTGGGTGCAAGTAGACTGCTTGAGCCCAGGAGTATGAGAGCAGCCTGGGCAACATGGTAAACCCTGTCTCCACAAAACATACAAAAATTACTGAGGCATGGTGGCACTTGCCTGTAGTCCCACCTACTTCCTACTTGGGAAGCTAAAGTGGGAAGATCACTTGAGCCCAGGAGGTGGAGGCTGCAGTGAGCTGTGACCGCACTCCAGCTTGGACGACAGAGCAAGACCCTGTCTCAAAAAAAAAAAAGAAAAAAAAAGTATCAAATAAAAACTTAGCCAATTGACACTATATTTTAAAAATTATTGTTTCATTTAAAAACACCATTTGTCACACATAGCCTCTGAGAGATGACTCCAGCAATTTTCAAAATATGAACCCTGGGAGTTCCTGAGACACTTACATGGAGTTTCTAAGATCAAAATTATTTCTATAATACTAAGATGTTACTTATGTTTTTTACTCTGTCTCTTGAGTATACACAAAGTAAAGTTTTTGTCAGAGTATAGAGCATGTAATATCCTAACAAACTGAATGCAAAAGCAGATATGAGCATCCAACTGTCTTCCTGTAAGCCAGACTTTGTTAATTGTGTAAACATGTAATTAGCTGTTATTTTTAAATAAATTTAATAAATGAAAACTATTTAAACTTCTCAGCTTTATTTTCTAACAGGGTAAATATCAAGAGAGATAACCCACATAAGTCAAAGCTTTTTGGGGTCTTCAATAATTTTTAAAAGTTTAAAGAGATCCAGAGAGCAAAACAAATTTAGAATCACTAAAAATCTTTGCTCACATTTTTTCCTTAAAATACAGCGTTGGTCATTAAAAGGACTTCAGTAATTTTAAAGCAGAGATTAGAAAAATACTCACTTTAGAATAGCAAGTATAAAATGCTTCTGAATTTTCACTGTTATTTTTAAAACCCAATTTTTAGCCATCTTCATTGTTGAGCACAATTGTTATCAGCTGTGTCTCAGAATAGTGTTCAATACTAACATCTTTCTTTTTTTAAGTAGTAGAACAACTACAGCAGTCCCTGGAGCAAAATTTAAAAATCTAGCTTATAAATACACGTTGAAAAAGAAAGAAGATCAGTTGTTAGGAAAAGGGAAATGTGACATTATATATGTTTAACATAAAAAGAAATTATAAGAACAGCTTCTAAAACTCATCTTGACTGTACAAACCACTAGTTTTAAGTAATTTTTTTTCCTGAGAAGAAATACATAAACTTTAAATAGAACCTCAAGAACGGATTGCCTTGCAGTAATAAATAAATTAGGAGGAAAACACTTTCAAGAATACATTAAAGACAATTAGAGAACTTACAGTATAAAAACTTAATTACTGGCCAGGCGCAGTGGCTCACGCCTGTAATCCCACCACTCTGGGAGGCTGAGGCAGGTGGGTTCCTGAGGTCAGGAGTTTGAGACCAGCCTGGCCAACATGGTGAAACCCCCGTCTCAACTAAAAATACAAAAAATTAGCCAGGCGTGGTGGCACATGCCTGTAATCCCAGCTACTCGGGAGGCTGAGGCAGGAGAATCACTTGAACCTGGGAGGCGGAGGTTGCAGTGAGCCAAGATCGCACCATTGCACTCCAGCCTGGGCAACAGAGTGAGACTGTTTCAGAAAAAAGAAGAAAAAAACTTAATTATTTATGCTGAGAATATGTTAAATGCTTGAAATATTAAGGCTTTACAGTCAAACAGGAAAGATGATTTCTTATCTTAATTTCTTATGTAGTAGCCCACATTTTCCCCTGTAAATCCCACAGAGTGAATTTTCAAAGGGGTTCTCCTTGGTTCTGTCCTTAGCCAAACCCCACGTCACCCCATGTCTTCTACAACTCTGGTTCATTCAGTCTATTCAGTCACCCATTCAGTCATTCAAATATTTACTCAGCACCTACCACATGCTATGCAGGTATGGATAAGGAAGATGCAGCCATACAAAAACGGGCTAAAATCTCTCCTGCCTTCACTGAACTTTTATATTTCAAGGAGAAGGTACAGAAAAAACAAGAGAAATATTTTTCTAGTAAACGGTGGCAGCAGGTAAGGAGAAAAAATACAAGAGGAAGGATGAAATGGCCAGCAAATGCCTCATTTTCTTAATGAAAATGTAAATCGAATTTTTAAAGATTTAAGAACATTTTTTAAATGTTGAAAGAGTGGTGGCAGCAAAAACGTGGTCAGTGAACAAAATTTGAATTTTTTCAGCATGTGTTAGTTTCTAAAAGAAAAAATATTTTTTAGAATTTTTTTGAATTTTTAAATGAAATTTTTCAAAACGTGGAGAAAGGAGTATAATGAACCTCTATATATATACTGTCACCTATATTTAACAGGTACTGAAATATTAGCAATATTGCTTTATCTATCTTTTATTCATTTTTTCCAAGGTATTTTAAAGTAAATTCCAGACATCACGTCATTACTTCCCTCATCCATATACATCATTATGTATCACTAAATAATTTGGCCACTGCCTTTCATACTCACAAAGTCACTATACACATTCAAAATAAGTATATTTCCACGATATTAAGTAATACCAGTCAATATTCAAATTCCCCATCTTATTTTAAAAATGTATTTTCTAGTTAATTTGATCTAAACAGAATCCAAAGAACTACCCTTTGTATATAACTATAGTACTGCTTCTTATATCTCTTTTACTGGAGAGTAACTCTCTAAGCCCCCCCCCCCTTTTTTTTTTTTTTCCACGCCAATACCTTGCAGAAACCATGTTAGGTGTCTCATATTCTGAAATTGTCTGTGCTTCTTCACTGTGTCACTTACCTTGTACCCCAGTCTCCAATATTTCCTACAGATAACTTTTTTCTTTTTGTTTTCTTTTGCCTACAAATAACTTTTGATAATGACTATTCCAAATTCCAACCTGAATAGAAATACTAGCAATATAGCATCAGACATAGGAGCTCTTCTAACTTCAGAGAAGTACTTTAAGTCTATTGGTAATTTTCAAACACTGGTTGAACTGAATGCAAAAAAAATTTAACAGGGTGCAATAGCTCTGAAAGGACAGAAGAGGGAACTATAATATTTAGGAATTCCACACTAAATAGCCCTTTTTAAAAAAAACTAAACACTGACTTTCAACTTGGCAACAGCTAAAAATGTAGTAATAATTACTTTATATATCCTCCTTCCAAAAAACAAACAAAAAAACCTAGAATGCAGAAGAAAAAGATATGGAAGATAAGGATAAAGACTGAATGTACAGATATTTGTAAGTTGTATCCACTAATAAATATTAGCCATTAACAAGAGCTACCATTTAAAATTATTCTACCAAACAATGCACCTCCACTTTCCAAATTAATAATAAAAAAGCATATATCTAAATAAAACTAATATATGTGTTTCCTTAAATAACCATTTTAGTTATAAATTAAAATGTGTTTTTAAAAATTATTCTTTTTAAAGAAAAGTCATCAGGAAATCCAGAAATTAAAGGTTTAAATTACATATCCATTTATTTGAAAGGAAGCTGTAAAAAGACTTTAATAATAATATCTCAAGAATATAGTCCACTAAGATATTTGTTCTAAATACTGATTTTTTAAATATAAATTTAATTTATAAAAACATAAATCTGTCACTTTAATTAAAACTACTTTATAACAAGTACAGAACAGAACTGCAAATGTATGTATAAATGATTGCTGCTATACCCAGGCAACACAGGAGAGTTAGTCACATAACTACAGGACGGAATTCAGGTAAACTTTCTGTTACAATCTAAACAAGGATCTCCTTCACTTCAGTTTCCAATAACATCTTCCTCATTTCCTTCAAAGCACTCACAAGCAGCAGCACCTTTAATGTTCACATTTCCACCAACAGTCTCTTTATGATGATTTAGGTATTCTCTAAGACGATACACATTTTCTCTACTGTGCTCCTCACTTCCTTCTGGGGCATCACCAGCAGAGCCTTTAACATCTGTATTTCTACCATCTGTACATTCAAGATAATCTAGGTTTTCTCCATTATGTTCCTCAAAATTCTACCAGCTTCTGCCAATACCCCAATTTCAAAGCCACTTTCACCTTTTTAGGTATTTGTTACAGCGGCATTCCACTTACAGGCAAAATCTATATGGGCTGTGGTAAGAAATTACTATAAACTTGGTGTAAAGCAACACAAATTTATTATCTCATGGCCTTAGCTCATGGCCCCTTCCCTTCATCTTCAAAGCACATCATTCCAACCTCTGCTGCAGTCATTCATCTCTTCTGCCCTGATTGGTTTTGCCTCCTTCTTACAAGGACTCTCTGATTACACTGGGCTCACCTGGACAATCCTGGCTAATCTCCTCATTTCAAAATCTTTAACTTAATCACATATGCAAAGTTTGTGGAGCCATATCAGGTAACATATATACAGCTTTTGGAAATTAGGATATGGACATCTTTCAGGGGTCATTATTTGGCCTGCCAAAATACAACACAAAAAGCATGAAATATAAAAGAAAAACTATAAATGTGTATTCATCAAAATAAAAGACTTGAACTTGAGAAGACATGGGTAAAGAAAAAAAGGCAAACCACAAACTGAAAAAAATCTGCAAGTAATTATCCAAAGGACTAGTATTTAGCACATAGAAAGAACTCTTATAATTCAATAATAAGACAAACAATACAATGAAAAAATTTAGGCACTGTGGCTCAAGCCTGTAATCCCTGCACTTCTGGAGGCTGAAGTGGAAGGATGGCTTGAGGCCAGAAGTTTGAGACCAGCCTGGGCAACAGTCAGGCCCTATCTCTTTAAAAAAATCCTTAAAAAAAAAAAAAAAAAAAAAAAAAAACAGCCAAGTGTTGTAGTACACATCTGTAGTCCCAGCTACTCAGGAGGCTGAGGCAGGGGGATCACTTGAACTCAGGAGTTCAAGGCTGCAGTGAGCTATGATCACACCACTGCACTCCAGCCTAGGAGACAGAGCAAGACTCTTACTCAAAATAAATAAATCAATAAATCAATAAGCAAAGATTCGAGAAAATACTTCAACAGAAAAAGATGTGAATGGCAAACAAGCATAGGTAAAGATGTTCAACATAATTCGCATTTTCCTAATGATTAATGAATGCCACAATAAGACATTATTATACAGCTACTAAAACAAATCAAATTAAAATACTGTCCATACCAAGAATTCTGAGGATGTGAAGCAACTGGAATGCTCATACACTGCAAGTGGTAATATAAACTGATACAAACCGGAAAAGTTTGGCAGTGTCTTATACAGGTAAACATACACCTACTATATGAATCAGCCATTCCACTCATAGCAGAAATAAGAGCACAAGTCCACATAAAAAACCATGCACCAACATTTGTGACCACTTTATTCATAATAGTCAATAACTGTTAATAACCCAATCCAGCAATAACAGCTAAATGGAAATGGGCAAAAAATAAATTGTACTATATACTAAAAATGAAATACTATTCCCCAGTTAAAAAAACAAAAACAAAGTTTTGATCATTCATCCAACAATATAGACAAATCTCAAATATATTGAGCTAGGGTTGAAAGAAGTCAGACAAAAGAGGAGACACATTATATGATTCTACCTACATAACATTCAAGAATATACAAACTGACCTACAGTAACAGAAAGCAAATCAGTGGTTGCCTGCGAAGTGGGGAGTGAAGAGATTACAAAGAGGCTTTTAAGGGTGATGTATATATTCACTGGATATATACATTGTGGTGATGGTTTCATGAGTGCACATATACGTCAAAACTCAACAAATTATGCATTAATTAGAACTCAATAGGCCGGGTGCAGTGGCTCACGCCTGTAATCCCAGCACTCTGGGAGGCCGAGGCAGGCGGATCACGAGGTCAGGAGAGCGAGACCATCCTGGCTAACACGGTGAAACCCCATCTCTGCTAAAAATACAAAAAAAATTAGCTGGGCGTGGTGGCAGGCGCCTGTAGTCCCAGCTACTTGGGAGGCTGAGGCAGGAGAATGGCGTGAACCCAGGAGGCGGAGCTTGCAGTGAGCTGAGATCGTGCCACTGCACTCCAGCCTGGGTGACAGAGCAAGACTCTGTCTCAAAAAAAAAAAAAAAAAAAAAAGAACTCAATAAAACTGGATTTTTTTTCATTAAAAAATTAGAAGATTAAAATGGAGCAGAGAAATTAAAATCTGAAAACAACTTCTCTAGTAGAATCCTAACAAACAGTCTGGAGACAAAGTAAAGAATCTCAAAGACAGCTCAAAAGATAAAAGATGTTACACTGATACTGTGGAATTTAAGAAAGATTTCTGGATAGAAGGTAAGAAAAAGGGTAGTGGTACTCAGTTTCCAATTCATTTCTCTTCTACTCATATCTTCCCCACCCCTACTAAAAAAAAAAAAAGTTACTTCAGGAAATTCTTTTAATTTGATGTTTACAATATACTTTCTTTGTTTTTTGTTTTGTTTTGTTTTGTTTTTGAGATGGAGTCTCGCTCTGTTGGCAGTCTCTGTTGCCATGCCAGTGCACTGGTGCAGTCTCAGCTCACTGCAACCTCTGCCTCCCGGGTTCAAGAGATTCTCCTGCCTCAGCCTCCCAAGTAGCTGGGATTACAGGCACGCACCACCACGCGCAGCTAATTTTTGTATTTTTAGTAGAGATGGGGTTTCACCATGTTGGCCAGGCTGGTCTTGAACTCCCGACCTCGTGATCCGCCCGCCTCAGCCTCCCCAAAGTGCTGGGATTACAGGCGTGAGCCACCGCGCCCGGCCTAAAATATACTTTCTAAACAGGTTGACATAGTGGTCAAAAAGAAACTATACTAGTGATGGAGCACATCTATTTTCATCTTTTAAGAGCATCTAACAAATTTTTCACTTGCCCTTTACATTCCTAACTCTCAAGAGGTAGAAGATACGCATCATCTCAGTCAATTAAAAAGAATGATCCAGATATACATCATCCAGCATTATTAAGAAGCCAACACATCTAGGCTCTAGGTCAGACATGTCTTAGCAGCCAATATTGTATCAGACAAACCACCATTTCACATACATCCATTTGCACATTTAAAAATGAGAGCACAGTTAACATCATGCTGGATTGTTACCACAGTCCCATATCTACCTTTCAGAGAATCAAACAGTATGACACACATAAAATTCCTTTGTAAATCAGCTCTATTAAGAGTGAACTAACTTACTTCTAACTGGGAAAAAGAGCTTGCAGTATGGACACAAGAAACCAGGCAGGAAAGAAAGGGAGGTGGGGGTAGGATCTTGCAATGAAGAACAAACCCAGCTATGTTCAGCTTGCTATGCCACTTCTATGGGCCACAGGAAAGTTTCACAATAAGAGATAAATAAACAATTCAATTTTTTCCACTTTATAGCACAACTGAAAGCAAAACCAATACAGCCCTAACACAGGTTGACAACCACAACTGTTCCCCAACTGATATAACTTGTAGAAATTAGGATCTAGCTACTTCCTCTCTGTATATTCACTCCAAGATGCAGTGAAATGGCCCCCTAGGAGAGGTGAGGAGCCCTGCCTAGAAAAGTGGTGTTCTCTACTGTCTAAGTTACTACCCAAAACAGTACAGCTGGTTCAGACTATAACTGCAGCATGACTTTACTACCGACACCAGCATTCAATCTACCACAAGTGCTACAAAATATTTAAACCAGAAGGATGACATCATTATCATCATATTTTCAAAACCATCAGCACTTCACTTTTTCCAATCAAGCTAATTCAATAAAACAGAGTACCCATTTTTACACTAGCTTCCACCTAGTAAACCAGATTTCATCACTACTCCATCTCTTTGGAGCAAATAAGATACTACAGTATCATAGCCAAATCAGCTACAACAGTAGCCATACTGTTGTATGTATACATACACAGAGCAAACTCAATAGTCATTCCAAGACTCTTTATAGACAGCAATTAATTCATACACCCAGGTGATCAATGGAGAGTCACATCACAGGCAGACTGCCCTTATATTCATACAGCAGCGACTCCAAACCAAGGGGTAGGGCAGGAAGTACACTAGTCCCCCACTTATCCACAGAGCATATGTTCCAGACCCCCCAGTGGATGCTTGAAACCACAGATAGAACCAAACTCTATATATACTATGTCTTTTCCTATACATATATACTTATTAGTTTAATCTGTAAATTGGGCAAAGTAAAAGATTAACAACAACAATAATAAAAAAGAACAATTATACTGTAATAAAGTTATATGAATGTGGTCTCTCAAAACATCTTATTGTGCTATAATCACCTATTTTCAGACCATGGATGACCACAGATAACCAAAATTGTGGAAAGCAAAACTGTGGATAAGGGGGACTACTATATATGAAATACAGAATAGCCAAATTCATAAAGACAGAAAGTAGATTAGACACTGCCAGAGACTCGGGGAAGGGAAATGGGAAATTACTGCTTAGTAGGTACAGAGTTTCTGTTTGGAATGATAGAAAAGTTCTGGAAAAAGTAGTAATGAACGAACAACACTGTGAATGCAACTGTGCCACCAAATTGTACAGCTAAAATGGCAAATTTTATTTTGTACATATTTTACCACATTTTTAAGTTTTTTAGAAACCTATTATACATTACTAAAATTAAACAATAACCTTAATGAGATATACCATGTTCATAAGTTAGAAGACTATTAACACGTTAATTTGTATGTCATTACATATTAAAAATTGTACAATATGTAAATTCCCAAACTCCATTATAAACCCAACAATACAGCATCATAATTTTTGCTTCAAGTCACAGGTACTTGTTTTTAAAATAAGGAAAAATATAGTTTATAAAAATTAGAGTAAATTATGTATTTACTAGTTTTGATGTTGATTTCCTCCTGTAGATGGTACTTGCCATCTGGTGCCATTTCCCTTGAAATTGATTCCTTTAGAAATGCTTGCAATGGTGGCTGGCTGGTGAAAATTTCCCAGTTTTGGTTTATCTGAACATGTATTTATTTTACCTTCACTTCTAGCTGAACACAGAATTCTTATTTGATAGCTTTTTGCCTTTCAGCTGAATATACCATATCCATGGCTAGAGGTCGCCATTGTTTCTGGTAAGATATTTCTGGCTACTTTCAAGAAATTCTCTGGTATTGAGCAATTTGACCACTTATGTGCTAACATCTGTTTTTTTGTGTGTGTTTATCCTGCTTGAAGTTTGCTGAGCTTCCTGGATATGTAAATTGATACTTTCCACCAAAGTTGTGGGGGTTTTCAGCCATTATTTATTCCCCATCTGAGACTCCATTTAGATGCATGTTCAAACATTGTATTACCCCAAAGGTCTCTCAAACTCTGCTTATTTTTCTCCATTCTTTCTCTTTCAAATAGATGACTTTTATTAATCTATCTTTAACTGATTCTTTTGCCATCTCCAAACAACTGTTTTGCTTGGCCGAGCACAGTGGCTCACGCCTGTAATCAAAGTACTTTGGGAGGCCAAGGTAGGCAGATCACCTGAGGTCGGGAGGGAGTTCAAGACCAGCCTGGCCAACATGGTGAGACCCTGTCTCTACTAAAAATACAAAAATTAGCCAGACATGTTGGTGCATGTCTGTAATCCCAGCTACTCAGGAGGCGGAGGTTGTGGTGAGCCGAGATCGCACCACTGCACTCCAGCCTGGGCGACGGAGCAAGACTCCACCACAAAATAAAATAAAATAAAATATAATATAAAAATTTCATTCCAGTTACTGATCTCAACCCTAAAATTCTCTTTTGCTTCTTCTTTACAGTATCTGTTTCTCTGTTTTGATCTCCTATCTATTCACTGAACAAGACTTTATTGTTTTTTATTGGCATTATTTTTTATTGCTGTACTGTAAATTTTATTATGTTTTTTCCCAACTATTTTTGATCCACGGTTGGTTGAATCTGCAAATGCAGAAACATGGAAACAGAGGGGTGACTGTATTTTTCTTTAATCCTTTGAACATAGGACTCCTTAAATTCTTCTGATTATATTTAGGGCTATTTTAAAGTCCTTGCTTGCTAAATCCAATATCTGGCTATACTTGGGGTTAATTTCTATTGAATGATTTTCTTTACCTGAAAATGAGTCATATTTCCACTTTATTTGCATATCTAATAATTTTTAGTTGAAAATACACATTGTAAATAGCAAGTTATAGCAACCAGATTTTGTCGCAATCTTTCAAAGGACCATTTGGTTTTCATGTTGTATGATTCTAATGGGCTCGTATGGACTCAAACTGCAAACTTCAGTAAGTCCTCACTTAATACCATCGATAGGTCTTGGAAACAGCAACTTGAAGCAAAACACAAACAGCAAGGTCCTTGAATACTGTCGTTTCCTTTAACACTGCTTTGTTATACAACTGATGAGAAAAAAATGTTCTGTTATACGTTGTTTCAGTTAAAGTCAGATTCCAAGAACCTATCAATAATGTTAAGTGAGGACTTACTGTGTGTCTCCCTTATAGTAAGCAACAATGATTTTGCTTAGTTCTTTCACCTTCCAGCTGCTTCCTTCTTCTAACCTGATGCCCAGGGCATCCCCTCTGCACCTGGGTAGTCTGGTGGTCAGTGAAGGAAATGGGCAGAGATTATACTGAGATGTGTGGCCTACATCCTCTGATGTTATCTTGCTTTCAGTGTTTGTTCCCTAAATTTTAACTCTTCTGTCAACAATATGTTCTGTGCTCTGATACCTCAAGCCAGCTGTTGGCCACGCAAATTGCATGCAAGTTGAGAAATGTACTGTCAAAAAAAGAAGCAATCACAAATCTCACAGGGTTCAATTCTTTCAGGAGCAGATTCCGCTCTTGTTTCTGCCTGTTTTTACACTGGGTCCCCTGGGGTCTCCCCTATGCATGTATAGTTTCGTGATTAGCCATGATTTGGACAGAGTTTACACTCAGATTTTGGATCTTACTTATTGCTTCCATGATTCCCCTGAGTAAATTTCCAACTGCCAGGCTACCCGTAACTTCTTTCCTATGCCACTGAAAGACAGGAGGCGAAAATGCACCATAAGGCAAGAAAGCCACAAACATACAATTACACATTGCAGTTGGAGGCTCTCATCTGGCTTTGCTTTTTTGGTTACTTTCCATGGCTTTTAAAACAGTTAAAGTTTTTCTTTCAATATTTTGTCCAGATCTTATAATTGTTAGCTGAAAGATGGTTCACTCAACCACTTCACTAGCATCACTGCATTCTTAAAAGAAGAATCTCGAAATTCTAATTAATGAAAAATTTCTCACATCCTTGATTTCTATTCCTTCCACCAAGTTAAAATCTTTACCTCATCAGACAAGAATTTGAAGTACTCCCACTTCCACTTCCAGTCTTTTTTTTTTTTTTTTTTTAATCTCACATAGTACACTGAGTAATTTCTTGTCTGGTATATTACTTGTATCATTATAAAGAATGTTTTTGGCTGGGTGTGGTGGCTTATGCCTGTAATCCCAGCACTTTGGGAGGCTGAGACAGGTGGGTCACTTGAGGCCAGGAGTTCAAGACCAGCCTGGTCAACATGGTGAAACTCCATCTATACTAAAAATACAAAAATTAGCTGGGCGTGGTGGTGGGCGCCTGTAATCCCAGCTACTTGGAGGCTGACGCATGAGAATCACTTGAATCCAGGAGGCAGAGGTTGCAGTGAGCCGACACATCACACCACTGCACTCCAGCCTGGGCGACACAGTGAGACTTTCTGTCTCAAAAAAAAAAAGAATGTTTTCTGTGAAAACTAGGAAACATGTCACCAGAAACTTCGTTGTAAGTTTAAACTCCACCATTACCCACAAAACCATAAGGAAATCACAATCTCTGTGATTTTTATTTCCACCATCTGCAGACAAAAATGTCATCTTCCTCATTAGTCAAACTTAGGACCAAAATATGACAACTAATATTAACAAGTGTAGACAAGAAGTGGTCAGAGATATTACAGGGCTTGTGACATGAGAATAGGTGGACAGTTAAAACCATTATCTTAAGAAAAAAAAAGACAGATAAGGAGTTAGTTCATGATTCAAAAAGCATTTACTTAGTTCCAACCATATAGCAAGCATTGTACAAGACAAACTTTCCACTGGGAAATAACAATTTTGGGGTGCTAAGGACCTGGCGACTGAGAAAGTGGTAAAACAGGTCACTAAGAAAAATGTGGTATTTCTGAGTCATCAAATTTGTGATAATCTACATAATGAACACGAGACCATCTCCTCAAAATGATGTGTAATGAAAAAGAGCTAAGAGCAAAGCTTCAACCCAATTTATATATAAGTGGTATATAAAAGAAGAAAGCAGTAACAAAGAAAACAAACATTTAGCCAGAGAGAGGAGAAAAACCATTAAGGTTTATTACAGAAGACAAAGGAGAAGTGAATGTTAAGCAGCAAAAAAACAAATGCTAAAAAAGACAGGAATGGATGAAAAGTGAAAAGACAAAGATTTAGCCATTTGGAACTCAGTTTTATCTTGGAAATAATAGCATGTTTACGGCCAGATCCGTCCAGCTAATGTTTATCTACCTAGTTAAGTAAGAAATGTGTTTACTTACACTTAAGAAAGCTGAACACTAGTAGAAATAATAGTCAAACTTCAGAAAGTAATTGAGTAAGAGTTGAGAAATTGGAGACACCTAGAATGGACTATAACAACCTTGGAGATAATGGGAAGGAAGTAACGTACTTTTCAAGATTAAGTCTGATAAGGCAGAGAACCCAGCATGGAGCATTAAGAGGAAGAAAAATAGTAGAGGAAAGAAGGGCTAAGATTAAAAACAGAGATAATAAGCTTTTGAAATGAAAACACTTTATTCTTTAAGACAGACTGAGGAAAAAGGGTATAAAATATGAAATGAAAAAGGAATAAGAGAACTAGGGATAGGACTGTTCATTTGAGCACAGTAGAATGGTTCCAAATAACTAACATGCAGAATGAAACAGATCAAAAAGATAAAAATTACCAGGAAGGAACCTGCATAAACTAGGAAGGGAAAATGTTAATTTGTACTAGAAACCTCTCAAGGCAGGAAACTGATGAAACTCTAGCAACGCTAGGCAGCACATGAAGAGGAAACAAAAGCAGAAGAAATGAACAGTTGTAATTAATTAAAATGACAGACTAGAAATTGTGTGAAGACAGTTAAAGAGATTTTGGAAATCTCAGGTATTCAAAATAATAAAGTCAAGACGTCTATGTATGTGGCTTAATCTGGATTAAGTTTTTCATTAAAGAAGTAAATATTGAAAAAAGCTTTTAAGAAATATTCTCTGCAATGATGTGATTACTGCAATAACTTTATTGGAAGAAAAAGGGGTCAGTATTACTGTTCAATGATTTGCAGACATTTGTGCAAAAACAGTATTGGCAATTAGAATAATCCAAGTCCAGTTGAGCCTTTCTGAGTAAGATTAGTAATCAAAGATCCATCTAATGAAGAACAATTTAATTGTTCTATTCATATAACCAGAACCAGTATCTCCAAGGTGTATTATTGGTCAGCAGAGCAGCAAAGCAGGACATGACCTGAGAAGCTGTGCTACCTATTATATATGGAAGCGACTATAGACTCTAGTGACAAATTAGTGGTTTAAAGGGTACTTACCTTCAAGGAAAAAAAAAAGTCTCTACTGACATCAAAACCTTATTTAAAATATAAATACTTAAAGAAAATTAATGTATACTCAATTATTATGATAGTAAGCACACAGAACAAGAGAAGGGAAGAGGAAAGAATCGGATATAAAAGCTATTTTGCCTTAATTCAGCCATAAATAGGTCACCAAAATCCTCTTAATTACCACATTTGATATAAACAATTGGAGGTAGCTCTCAATTATGTCTTTTCCTTACTGTCATCACAATTGAAAATTTAACAACATCATTAATAAGTTTTTCATTTCCTTTTCCATTGCTAAATTTCCATGAATACTATAACATAAACCATAAGAATATCAATGTATAGAACAATATTACCCATCTGGCCAGGCGCGGTGGCTCATGCCTGCAATCCCAGCACTTTGGGAGGCCAAAGTGGGTGGATACCTGAGGTCAGGAGTTAGAGACCAGCCTGTCCAACATGGTGAGACCCCATCTCTACTAAAAATACAAAAATTAGCCGGGCATGATGGCATGCGCCTATAATCCCAGCTACTCAGGAGGCTGACACAGGAGAATCGCTTGAACCCAGGAGGCAGAGGTTGCAGTGAGCCAAGATCATGCCACTGCACTCCAGCCTGGGCGACAGAGTGAGACTCTTTCTCAAAAAAAAAAAAAAAAAAGAGAACAATATTACCCATCTAATAGCCACTCAAGTGACTGTTAGCCAATGAACACCATGATTTTAAATCAACTAACAAGAATATCAGTGATCCTAGCACTATAAAATCTCATCAAAATAGGCCGTTATTTGAAGTTGACAAAGAATACTGTCAAATAACATGAAAGGTAAGAATAGTCAATTCCCCTAATAAAAACACATCTAGCGCATTTATATTACAACCTCAACCTTACACAGAAAGCTAATGCTTTGAAGACAAGTGACATTCCACTGTTACACACCATTTCTCCAGAAACTAAACTAGACAACATTATAGGTCAAAATACATGAAATACACCTTCAACTGATCACATAACGTCACATAACGATAAAAAATAAGGAACTAAATTGGTACCTTAAAAATTAAAGACACTGGCTGGGCGCAGTGGCTCAAGCCTGTAATCCCAGCACTTTGGGAGGCAGAGGCAGGTGGTCACCTGAGGTCAGGAGTTTGAGACCAGCCTGACCAACATGGTGAAACCCCGTCTCTTCTAAAAATACAAAAATTAGTCAGGTTTGGTGGCACATGCCTGTAATCGCAGCTACTCGGGAGGCTCAGGCATGAGAATCACTTGAACCCGGGAGGCAGAGGTTGCAGTGAGCCAAGATTGTGCCACTGCCCTCCAGCCTGGGCAACAGAGCGAGACTCCATTTCAAAAAAAAAAAAAAATTAAAGACATTTACTTAATAGAGGAAAAACTTACATATTCCATACATAAGTTTACAAAAACACCAAAATATCATTGCTTAAAAATAATCTGGGTTGGGCGTGGTGGCTCACACCTGTAATCCCAGCACTTTGGGAGGCCGAGGTGGGCGGATCACGAGGTCAGGAGATCGAGACCATCCTGGCTAACATGGTGACATGCCATCTCTACTAAAAATACAAAAAATTAGCCAGGCGCGGTGGCGGGCACCTGTAGTCCCAGCTACTCGGGAGGCTGAGGCAGGAGAATGGCGTGAACCCAGGAGGCAGAGCTGGCAGTGAGCTGAGATCGCGCCACTGCACTCTGGCCTGAGCGAAAGAGCGAGATTCCGTCTCAAAATAATAATAATAATAATCTGTACAAGATTAAAATCAGTGAGATTATCAAAATCTATTCCTTCTTCACAAGAAAGATAAGAACCTGATAATCCTTAGTCTAAAAAGCAATGGTTTCTTAAACTATGAAATAAAATATGCAGTAATTGTCATAATAAACTATTGATATGGTTTGGCTGTGTCCAAACCCAAATCTCATCTTGAATTGCAGTTCTCACAATCCCCAAGTGTTGTGGTGGGACCCAGTGCAAGGTAATCGAATCATGGGGATGATGACCTCCATGCTGTTCTCATAATAGTGACTGAGTTCCCACAAGATCTGATGGTTTTATAAGGGGCTTTTCCCCCGATTCACTCTGCACTTCTCCTTGCTGTCACCATGTGTTTGGTTCCTCTTCTGCCACAACTGTAAGATTCCTGAGGCCTCTCCAGCCCTGAGGAACTGTGAGTCAATTAAGCCTCTTTCCTTTATAAACTACCCAGTCTTGGGTATATGTCTTTATCAGCAGCGTGAGAACGGACTAATAACATCTATTAAGGATGGCCCCTCCCTTCTTCAATCCAAAAAAAACTAAACATAAATTCACAAGACTAATATCAATAAACATATCACACACAGCTAATATTTTCACAGTAACACATGGGATCAAAACGTAAGGTTTTGCTTAAAACAATTAGCTGAGGAACTGAAGCACAAATACAAGGATAATTGCCTCCTTTGGGCTTTGACTGTCAAACACAAGAAATGCCAATGCTTTTTCGTAGTCCTATGACGATTAAAACTTTGTCATAGACCCAGGCTATCAGTGAGTATTTATTTAAAAACAAATCTGCAATATAACACCAAAAGAACAAGCAACAAAAAACAGATCAGCTGAACTTCAAAATTAAAACTTTTCTGCTTCAAAGGACACCATCATAAAAGTAAAGAGATAATCCATAGGAGAAAATATTTGCAAATCATGTATGTGATAAGGGACTAGTTTCCAGAATATATAAAGAATGTTTACAATATTCAACATTAAAAAGATAATCTTTTTTTTTTTAATGGGCAAAGGAGTTGAACAGATATTTCTCCAAAGAAGATATATGGTCAATAAGCATGTGAAATGATGCTTATCATTAGTCATTATCCAAATCAAAATCACAATGGGATACAACTTCATACCTACTAGAATGGCTGAAATACAAAAGACTGACAATAAGTGTTTATGAGGTCGTGGAGAAATTACAATCCTCATACATTGTTGGTGGTATTGTAAAATGGTACAGCCATTTTGAGAGTTCCTCAAAGAGTTACACACAGGTACTATATTATCGAGCAATCCCACCCCATCCATATATACTCAAAAACGTATCTACACAAAACTTATATAAGAATGTTCACAGAAAAGCGCTCCTAATAGCCAAAAAAAGAAGTGGATACAACTCATTAACTGATGAATACACAAATGATATACAAAGAAATATTCAGCCACAAAAATGAATGAAACACTGATACATGCTACAACATGAGTGAAGCTTTAAATATCATGCTAAATTAAAGAAGCCAGACACAAAAGGACAAATATTTTATGATTCTGTTTTTATAAAATGCCCAGAATAGGCAAACCTATACAAACAGAAAGTGTATTAGTGGTTGCCTAGGGCTGGGTGATAGAGGGCGTCCAGAAGAAGGATGATGAAAGTAACCTAAGATTACAAAGTACTGGTAGTTGCATAACTTGGTGAATATATTAAAATATCACTGAATTGTACACTTAGAGATGAAATCTCCTGGTATATAAATTTCATCTCAATAAAACTGTCACTAAAATTAATAAATTTGCTAAGATGAAATATACATGATAAGCATATAACACAAAGACGACTGCTTCCCTCTAACTCAAATATACGCATCAATAGGGAAAAAAATGACAATAAGTTACTCTTTTGTACTTAATACAACTCCAGAAATCAGTTACCACCTTCTAAAGTAGTAAAAATCTGTTTAAGAGATCTCTGTGGCATCATTTGCTCCTAAAAGTATTTATATTTATTACAAATTTACAGTAAACAGAACAGTATAACTGTTGAACATTTAGGCACCTACTGTAGTTACTATAAAATTTAAGAAAAATAATTTGGTCAAATATTTGCTGTTTCAAACACATTAAAAAGTATAATAAAAGAAGCCAATGCTTATCACTAAATATTTCCTCCTTAATAATCTGCTATTGACTATATTAAAAACAACCAAAAGCCTATACTATGACACCTCATTATGCAATGTCTCAGCACTTCTTTCCCATTCTGAAGCATATTTAATAACTTTAAAATCTATTATGATTAACCAAATCATTTTATATCTATATAATCACCATAGTACACAGGTATAAAATACTATGTAGTTGAAGTAAAATACATTCTGAGATTGACTCACCTACCTTTACTCAAAAATAAAAAAGTAAAAGCTTTATCTATGAAATCATAAGTTTATGAAATTCTTAACTACAGACACCTACAAAATTTTTCATATTTTAAGCTTGGAACAAAGAATAATCTAAACAGGAAATGCATAGACCCTGACCACAGTATTTGGTTCATGTTGGCATGTTGCAGCAAACAGGACCTAAATACAAGGAGGAGTCAAGCAATGGATGGCTAAAGAACAAATCTGTATTAGTGTTTTCACAAAAAAGAAATACTACAAAATCTCAAGTAGGGGAAATCCTGTTTTATTCATAAAGTATTAGCATTCCTGCTCACTAAAACCATTTCTTTCCTTGAACTCTTAATAATAAGGCTGTACACTGAAAGAATCTCTGGACACAACATAAAGAACAAGAGAGAAAAGGATTGGAATAGGTTTAAGGAGACAAAAATTCTAGTAACCAAGTAAAATTTAAAATATTAATTATAACTATAATTTACACTCACTATTGTAAATGTCATTCATGTAGCATATGTGTAAACTTAAGTAACACGCAAAATATTTAACATGGAGAATATTTACTTACCAAATATTTAGATAGCCTTTTTAAAATCCTGCTGGTGGTTGAGATTCCCTATATAATAAAATTTTTTAAAAAAGAAGATGAAACCATTTTCAACTTCAGAGTTACACCTACTCTGTAATGTCTACCTAAGAATTCCATTTAATGACGGTAATTTGTTTCAGTAAAACAGTTTAAAATCCAAACCATATGCTAAAACTTTGGTATATTATACATATGAAACAATTTTTTCATAGCCTTATAATTTAAATTTTATAGGTAATATATAGAGATGCTAATGAATTATAAAGACATTGGCTGAATTTACTAGACCATGTAAAGAATGAGCTCTATCACAACTTAGACAAAAAATTATAGATCAAGACCACGGCATGCTAACAATGTCTTAGGGAAGCATTCATGCATTCAGTTCTTCCTGACAATCAACATATAATGTAACACATTCTGGTATCTAGTTACCATCTTTTAAGTGGCACCTAGACAATCTAACTATAGAGTCTACTGAGTTAAAACAGAGCCAATAAAGTGGGAAAATATTTCACACAGTATTCATTCTATGTTTATTAAAAAATTAACATGAGGAAGCATTTAAAAATCCATCCTATGTTGGTACTTAAAAATTAAAATATTTTATGCATAACAAAAAGAAATGTATAATGGGCAAATCAATTTTACTATTTACAAAAGCTAGCGGTTAATAATTTTATAATAAACTTATAGTACAAATCCTTTGCATCAAGTCGAGTCCAATTTATTTCAAAAATCTAGAATAAAAAGCACTAAATAATATTTATGAAGCTCTTCTTGTCTGCCAGGCAATTTACTCTGTATTTGAAAAAGCATATACATACATTTTTTAATCACCTCATGCCTCACGGAGATTAAGTCATCTGCTTAAACATTGTAGCTGCATTTGATGATAAAACTCAGTATTTTTAAACTACCAGTATGACTCCTCAAAAACAAAACATAACAAATAAGACATAAAATGACATATTAAGTAAAACTGACTGCCTTCTCTAAAGTCAGGAATAAAGCTGTTTTTAAATTCCTCTTAAAGAATCTGCAGAGTAAAAATCACATATCATAACTAGCAGAAAATGTTGCCATACTAGAAATTATAATATCACATATAAAAATAAAAATGCTTTCTCATGAGTAAGCCACATCAATAGATTTTCTATGACTACTACTGTTAAAATCAAAATCAGTAAAATGAATAACATCTATCCACAAGCCACAGAAAAGGTGGGAAAAAAAATAAGATATATTAGAGACCTATATATATAAAATTTTAAATAATAAAGCTTATATAGTGA
Organism: Homo sapiens; assembly: GCF_000001405.40. NCBI lineage: Eukaryota > Metazoa > Chordata > Mammalia > Primates > Hominidae > Homo > Homo sapiens. The sequence continues at coordinate 152,471,257 of NC_000004.12, forward strand.
CAAGATAAATACTGTCACGATATTTAGGCATAGATTTAATACACAGCACATAAAAAAACTGAATTTCATTACAAACAAACAATTTCATTACAATTACAGGGAGGGAAGGAAGGAGGGAAGGAAGGAGAGAAGGAAGGAGGGAAGGAGGGAAGGAAGGAAGGAAAAAGGGAAGGAAGGAGGGAAGGAAAGAGAGAAGGAAGGAGGGAAGGAAGGAGGGAAGCAGGGAGGGAAAGGGGGAGGGAAGGGGAAGGGAATGGGGAGGGAGGGAGGGAGGGAAGGATGGAAGGAAGGAAGGAGAGAGAAAGGAAGAGAGAAAGAGAGAGGGAAAGAGGGAAAGAGAGAAAGAAGGAAAGAAGGAAATGACTGGCGCAGTGGCTCACACCTGTAATCCCAGCATTTTGGGAGACCCAGGCAGGAGGACTGCTTGAGGCCAGGAGTCCGAGATTAGTGTGGGCAACATAGTGAGATTCTGTCTCTACAAAAAAATTTAAAAATTACCCAGGTGTGGTGGCACATACCTGCAGTCCCAGCTACTCAGAAGGCTGAAGCAGGAGGACTGCTTGAGCCCAAGAGTTCAAGGCCGCAATAAGCTATGATAAGGCCACTGCACTCCAGCCTGGGTGACAGAGTGAGACCCTGTCTCTTAAAAAATAAAATAAAATTTAAATAAATTAAAAATGAAAATGCAAGCTACAGTGTAGGAGAAAATATCAGCAATGCACATGTTCCACTAAAGACTCATACCCAAAATATATTCTTTAAAAATACTTCAACTCAACAAAAAAAACAAACCGATTTTTAAGATAGGCTAAAGACCAAACAAAACTTCACAAAGACATACTACTACCCTCCAAAATGACTAACTTTTATCTAAAAAAAGACAATACCAAGTGTAAGCAAAAATCTGTAGCAACTGACATTCTAAAATACTGCAGGTAAAAATGTATAATAATATAATACAAACAGTATGGGAAACTGTTCGGAAGTGTCTACTAAGCTGAAGATAAACCCAAAGACTAAGTGATACTACCCCTGAGCATACACTCAATGGAAATGTGTACATATATGCACAAAAAAATATGTACGAGAATTATCACAGCAGCACTATTTGTAAGAACCCAAAATTGATATAATTTGAATGTCCATCAGCAGAAGGGAGAAATAAACTAAGGATATTCACACAATGAAACCCTAAGCCTCAGTGAAAATGAAAAATGCTGTAAGCCAAATATCCATCTCAAAAACATACTGCTGTGGGAAAGAAGCCAGTTTGAAAAAACTTATAAATCATATAGTCTTATATACTTTATGATTTATAAAAATTCAAAAAAAAGCCAAGCTAATCTCTAATTACAAAGTCAGAATATTAATTACCTTTCATGTAAAGGAATATGACAGATACAGGGAAGCTCCTGAGAAGCTGATATCTTGATCTGGGTTGTGGTTACAAAAGTGTGTTCATTTTGTAAAGTTCATCAATATAAAAAGCTCATATATACTTTGTGTATGTAAATTATACAATTTTTAAGTTTTTCTAATCAAAGATGAAAAATTACCTCTCAATAACTTTAAGCCATCACACTAATTTACTAATTAAAAAATCTGAATCTCCTAATAATGTATTTCAATTTATTTCTATTTATTATATAAAGGTAAATTAAATATCTCTGGTCATTTTATATAAATATGTTTAAGAGTAGTTTCAATATAAATTTTACCAGCAAGGGATTCCTTATTATTTTCTACTAATGATAAAAAAAATTTCCCGTAAAATCTTGCTAATGCCCAGCCTGGCAACATAGGGAGACCCCGTCTCTATGAAAAATACATCTTTTTACTTAGCTGGGTGTGGTGATGTACACCTGTAGTCCCAGCTACTCAGGAGGCTGAGGTGGGAAGATAGCATGAGCCCAGGAGGTGAAGGCTACAGTGAGCAGTGACCTGCACTGCACTCCAGGCTGGGCGACAGAGCAAGACTGTCTCCAAAAACAAAAACAAAAACAAAAGTCTTGCTAATGCTTTCCTAGACAGACTCAAGTTAAATTTACAAATATGTAATTCTGCACACATTTTAAAAGCATTAATAGTTTAGTAAGATGTTGATTTCAAAAGCAACCAGATAGCCAAGCCAGGCATTCATAAAAACTTTAAAGCAAAGTACTCGGCCCTGTTGCTTAGAAAATCTTACATTTTTTAAAGCAGTACCTTTGGAATCTTTTGAAGAAAAACCTGTATATATATTTTAAAAGATGAGGTCTTACTCTTTTGCCCAGGCTGAAGTGCAGTGGCATTACCATAGCTCACCACAGCCTCAAACTCCTGGGCTCAAGCAATCCACCTCAGCTTCTGGAGTAGCTAGGACTACAGGTGTGCACCACCACGCCTGCCTAATTTTTTTTTTATTTTCCATAGAAACTGGGTCTTGTTATGTTGCCCAGGCTGCACAAAACTGACTTTTTAAGTCAGTCTAACTCCACAACCTCTCCAAGCATGAAACATGCTTCTTCCAATTCAGATACTTATCTTTCTAAATGGCATATTTTCACCAAGAATAACTTGAGACTTACAGTGATCATTATGGGCAACTTTTGATATGAACAAAATTGTTAATTTGAAAGGCACTCTAGAACAAAAAAGGAAAAAATCCCTCCCTTATGAGAAATTTGTCTTTTCTTCCTAAAAGAGAAAGATTAACTTATTGAAAATAAGGGAAACCTCCCCAGGGGTCACATATCTCAGCAAAAAAAAGACAAATACTAGACAGACTAGGAATATAGTTTAGGGTCCACTTTGAAGCCAAGAGCCAATGGTGACCAAATTAAGACAACAGATCCCATCCCAAACCTAAATAGCCCACAGAATCAGATAAAGGCTTATTAGGAAAATTAACCAAACTTTATAACTTCTAGTAACATTAAAGATCTCAGAGAAGACTGCAAAGATACAAGCAAAACAATCTTCCCTTAAAAGATGCACAATGAATTCAGCGACTGTATGCTGGTCATTCAGCAGTAAGTCTAATGAAGACTGCTCATGAATTCTAACCATGTAAATACTGGTAGTTTTAAATCTAGCATGTTTAGATAGTGTTCGTAAATTATTTTCCTAAGAGACTAATTATTTTGTTTTCAATTTTAATTATGGCGGTAGAAAAGTTGTAGCCAGCCAGGTAAAGGTTTTTAAAAAGCACAGACAACTAGTCAAGAGTTCTAAGTAGTTATGTGAACATCAGATTTTGAATGATCTAGGACAAAGCATTAGAAATCAATTCTCAAATTACCCATCACCTATTTGATTTAGCCTAATTGTAATATTTCACAAATCAAACTAGTACAAATCAACAGTTTATCTCTACCTTATACAGAATTGAATCCTATTATCTTGTATCTTTCAAAGGTCTTTTTAAAATTTCATCCCATAACATTTTTTTAAGATGGAGTCTCACTGTTGCCAGGCTGGAGTGCAATAGTATAATCTTGGCTCACTGCAACCTCCACCTCCCAGGTTCAAGTGATTCTCCTGCCTCAGCCTCTCAAGTAGCTGGGACTACAGGCGCACGCCACCACTCCCAGCTAATTTTTGTATTTTCAGTAGAGACGGGGTTTCACCATGTTAGCCAGGATGGTCTCGATCTCCCGACCTCATGATCCGCCCGTCTTGGCCTCCCAAAGTGCTGGTATTACAGGCGTGAGCCACCACGCCCGGCATGGTAGCAAACGCCAGTAATCCCAGCTACTCAGGAGGCTGAAGTGGGAGAATCACTTGAACCCAGGAAGCAGAGGTTGAGTGAGCAGAGATTGTGGCACTGCACTCCATCCTGGCTGACAGAGCAAGACTCTGTCTCAATAAATAAATATATGTATATTTATTTATATATATTAATAATAATAATGATAATAAGAGGCCAAGTGTGGTGGCTAATGCCTGTAATCCCAGTACAAGTGGGAGGATCACTTGAGACTGGAGTTCAAGACCAGCCTGTGAACACAGCAAGACCTCATCTCCACAAAAAATAAAAAACTTAGCCAGGCATGATGGCACATGCCTGTAATCCCAGCTACTCAGGAAGGCGGGGCAGGAAGACCACTTGGGCCCAACAGTTTGAAGCTGCAGTGAGCTTTGATCATACCGGTGCACTCCAGCCTTCGCAACTGAGCAAGACCCCATCTCTAAACATAACACTAATAATAAAAGAGTAATAAAACACCAGGAACAAAGCAAAGATGTGTTTTTACCACCTCTATTCAGCATTGTCCTGGAAAGCTCTAGCAAGTGCAATTAAGAAAGGAAATGAAATAAAAGGTATACAAATTTAAAATGAAATTTTGTAAAACAGCCTTTATTCAAAAGCATGTTGTCTATATAGAAAATCCAAAGGGTTTTATGATTATGATTTTAACAAGTTGTGGAATATAAAATCAATATGTAAAAATCGACCATATTTTTATATATCAGCAATAAGTTAGTACATCAAAAATTTTTAAAGCAGTAGCACTCACAATAGCATCTGGAAAAGATACACTTCCACAAAATATGTGCAGGATCTGCATGCTGAAAACTATAAAGCACTGATGAAAATAATCAAAGACCTAAAAAATGGAAAAATAACTATATTCATGGATTGGAAGGCTCAATATTGGCAAAATGTCAGTCTCCTCAGACTGACATGTACATTAAACATAACACCAATCAAAATCTCAAAGTATCTTTGTAGCTATCAACAAGCTGATTCCTAATTTATAAAGAAAATGCAAAGGTACTATAATATCCAAAACAATTCAGCAAAAGAACAAAATTTGAGAACACTAATTTCAATAACTACCATAAAACTGTTACTATTTAAGGCAATGATGTATTAGCAAGAGGACACACACAGAAATCAACAAAACAGAATAATAAATCCAGCAAAATATACTTACAAATAAGGGCAATTGATTTTTGACAAAGGTAAAAAGGCAGTTCACCGAAGGAAAAGATAGTCTCTTCAACAAATAGTGCTAGAACAAGTAAATATCCATACGCAAAAACAATGAACCTGAACTCTACCTCATAACTTATGCAAACAAAAGGTAATGCAAGACAGATCACAGATCTAAATGTAAGACACAAAATAATAAAACATCTGGACAAAACAAAGAAAAAAACTCTGTGATTTTCAACTAGGCAAAAAGTTCCTAAGACAATTCATAAGAGAAAAACCTGATAGTAATCAAAATTAGAAACTTCTGTTCTGTAAAAGAGATTGAAGAATATGAAAAGACAGGTCACAGACTCAGAGAAAATACTTGCAAATCACACATCTGACAAAGGACTGTACCCAGAATCAAGAAAGAACTCTCAAACTCAACAATAAGAAAGCAAATAACCTGATTTTAAAAGCCAGCTAACTATTTGAACAGATACTTCACTATCTTCTGTCAGATAAATCAGAGTGGTATACTCATGAAAAAAATTTGCCTTAAGACAAAATAGTATAGAAATGAGCAGAAAATATTATTGGGAGACAATTTTCTATGAGACTCTCATGTTTCTGCACCTCTTAGGAGCAAGACACTCAACTACCCTTTTGGTCTGCACTATCCTTTTGAGGATACTTTTACAGCAATAGTGTTGGGAGACAAAGACAGTATCTTGCTCCAAAGCAAAGAAAGGCATTCTTACTTCCTATTATACACTACTATTCAGATTCTGTAAGAAGCTGAGGATTCCGCATCTGTTATGCAATCCACAGTGTGTACAAGCATCATGTAGCCCTCCTCTTCACACTACTATATGGGAACCAGGGCTTGGAAAAGCGGCAAAAAAAAAAAAAGGAAGCTAATACTCTGGTCACTGCTACTGCTTGCTGCACTAATAAACTGTCCTTCAACTCCAACTCAGGAGTCTCATATCTTTAACCACCATCCATAAAACTACAACTGAGTAACTGCTAGCTTGCAAGTAGGGTAAAATGTCAAGATTCTTCACAGTTCTTGACAATGGGACTCTAGTTCCAAAGGGGTAGGTCAATATTAGAAAAATATAAAAGTTCTAAGAAGGATCCAAATAAGGCCATTTGGAAAAGTATTAGCAGTCATCGGACCTATCATCTCTTACCAGAGTGACATACTTCTATTTTTGTGTGTTTCCTTCCACCCTCATTGAATACGTATTTTAACAACTATACGCATTTGGAAATCTTACAAAGCCAAACAATGAAAATGTCTCAATCCAATTGCAGCATCATCTAAAGAGAATCCGGTAGAAGTATTTAAAAGAGGAGACATTAAATTTGGGGGAAAAAATAGTAAACCCCAAAAAAACCCATAAATACTCAACCACTGCATATTTGTCATTTGAATTTTTCATATATCATCCCAGTATTTCCCAGTTTTGCTTCTTAACATTTTTGCATTTTTAGGATATTCTTAAATATGATCAGGTCAATAACCATCTACTGTGCTGAGTTACTTGTCCTTTTGAGCTCTTCTTTTTCTGTGTCCACAATCTAGGAAACATGACACCTTTTCCAGTTTGGTTTATTTCTATAGGGCCAAAAGCAGAAAGTGTTTTTTAATCTGCAAATTTAAATTGTTGACTCTGTATATCTTAATGTGAAACAGAAAGGACAATAAATAACATGATATGAGAGTATTGAGCTAAAATTCTTTACTGATACTCTTTTTCATTTATATAGCTGTAATATTTCAAAATGCATATAATTTTTAATACATTTTCAAAGAGGCAGCAATGAAACAACAAAATTTTATTAGTGAAAATATTTTTCACAAGTAACATCAAAATACAAACTTTTACTTTAAAAATATTTTTGTATCATAAAATATACATAAAATGTACTATTTTAGCCATTTTTAAATGGACAATTCAGTAGCATTGAGTACATTCAGAATGTTGTACAATTATCACCACTATTCATTTCCAGAACTTTTCATCATTCCAAATAGAAACTCTATACTCATTAAGCAAACTTCTCATTCCTCCCTCACCCTAGGCCTTAGTAACTTCTATTATACTTGCCAGCTTTATATATTTGCCAGCTTGGGGTATCTCATCTAAGTAGAATCATACAATATTTTCTGTCTAGCTTATTTCACTTAGCACAATGTTTTCAAGGTTTATCTATGTTGTACCATGTACCAAAATTTCATTTGTATTTATGGCTGAATAATATTCTACTATATGTATAAACACATTTGTCCATTCATCTGTTCACAGACATTTGGCCTTTTTCATCTTTTATTTAGTATGAGTAATGCTGCTATGAACACTGCTGTATAAGTTATCCAGTTTGTGTCCCTTCTTTCAATTCTTTTGGAGATAAGCCTAACAGTGAAATTGTTGGATGATACAATCATTCTACATCAAACTTTTTGAAGAACTGGTAAACTGTCTTTCATAGCAGCTGTACCATTTTACGTTCCCACCAGTAGTGCAGGCATGGTTCCAATTTTCTCCACATCCTTCCCAATCCTTGCTATTTTCTGTGTCTTTGCTAATAGCCAAATTGTATCTAAATGTGGTTTTGATTTGCATTTCTCTAATGACTACTGGTGTTGAGACTCTTCATATGTGTTTATTGGCCATTTTATATCTTCTTTGGAGAAATATCTGTTCAAGTCCTTTACCCATTTTTGAATTAGGTTTTTGTTTTGCTGTTGGGCATAGTACTTTTCTAAGGTTATAAAAAAATTACAGGCAATCTTGCTTTAATGAAATTAACTGAGTCAACTGTTATTCTCAGATTAAAGAACTAAAATAGGCTTAAAAGCAGTAATCTAATAAACGATAAACAAGGATGTAGTAGATGTGATTACACAGCTATGAAATAAAGCAGAATATGATGATAGTGAATGTCCTTCCAAGCAAGCTACTTTGGAAGACAGTTACACATAAGCTGAGCTTTCATCAATGGAGACGAACCTCCTAAGAGATGCAAATGACAAATATTTTATATTTACTGATTTTATCATAGACTATACTGAGTAGTGAAACATATCTTTTAAAACAAGTCTTACAAAGTAATAAAACCATTAAGACATCTAGTCAAAAAAAAGTAAAAATAAGGTAAGCTAGTATCTTGATGTTTTCTCAAGTGTCTCAAAGATATCTATTTTTAAGCCTTCAGGGTTGAGAGAGCAATCCAAGGGCAAATGAAAATTTATGTATAACATTTGCCTGTTAAATCTCTTTGGTCTCGCCTGTCCTAGAATAGTCTCTCGCACACACACATATCTTTTTCTTAAGACAATGATGTGTCAGGACTCATGGCCAGTTTTCTTACAGAATGTCCCACATCCTAGATTTGTCTGACTGCTTCCCAGAATGTATTCTGACTTACTCCACAACTTCCTGTATTTCTTGGAAACAAGATCAAGTCTAGAAACCTGACTGGATTGTAGATAAACATTAGGCAAGAATACACCCAAGGTTACATCATTCCGCATTATATCATAACAAAAGGAACATGGTATCAGGCTGTCCCATTATAAGTGTGACCACTTAGTTCAAGTGGCAATCTATAGATCTATTGCAAAGGCACATTTTCCCTTTGTAGTCGTACAAGATTTACAGAATAATTGGGCACCACTGCATACGTATCATGTTCACAGCACTCTTACACCTAAAGGTTTTGGCATCCATTGATGCTGTTGGCACAGATTGTTTCTTTGGAGTTTACAGTACAGTTTTCCAGTTCTAACACTGCTACTACAATTCTCTAAAGGAGGGCCTTCCTTTTCTTCTTATCTCTCTGGACTCATGGATTATTTTTTTCAATCAAAGGTTTTACAATTATAGGTATACCTCCTTGTACTGCATTTCATTTTATTGGACTTCAAACATATTGTGGATTTTACAAAATAATGGTTTGTGCAACCCTGCATTGGGCAAGTCTATTTGGTGCAATTTTTCAAATAGCATGTGCTCACTTTGTGTCTCAGTATCACATTTTAGTAATTCTCACAATATTTCAAACTTTATCATTATTATTGTATCTGTTATGGTGATCTGTGATCTTTGATGTTACTATTTTAACTGCTTTGGGCCACCACAAATCACAAACACAGAAGATGGCAAGCTTAACTGATAAATGTTGCATGTGTTCTGACTGCTCCAACCACCAGCCAATCCCTATCTCTCTCCCTCTCCTCAGACCTCCCTATTCCCTAAGACAAAACAACATTGAAATTTGTCCAATTAATAACCCCACAATGGCCTCTAAGTGTTGGAGTGAAAAGAAGAGTCACACATTACTCACTTTAAATCAAAAGTTGGAAATAATTAAGCTTAGTGAGGAAGGAATGATGAAGGCCAAGATAGGCCAAAAGCTAGGATTCTTGTGCCAGTTAACCAAGTTAAAAAAGGAAAAGAAAAGTTCTTGAAGGAAATTAAATGTGCTACTCCAGTGAACACATGAATAATAGGAACAAGAAAGAGCCTTACTGCTAATATGGACAAAGGTTTGGTGTTCTGCACAGAAGATCAAACCAGCCACAATATTCCCTTAAGCCAAAGCCTAATTCAGTGCAAAGTCCTCTCTTCAATTCTATGAAGGCTGAGAGAGGTGAAGAAGCTTCAGAAGAAAAGTTTGAAGCTAGCAGAGGTTATTTCATGAGGTTTAAGGAAAGAAGCTGTCTCCATAAAAGTACAAGATGAAGCAGCAAGTGCTGATGGAGAAGTTACAGCAAGTTATCTAGAAGATCTAACTAAGATCACTGATGAAGGTGGCTACACTAAACAACAGATTTTCAATTGAGATGAAATAACTCTCTACTGGAAGAAGAAGCCATGTAGTACTTTCCTAGCTAGAAACGATAAGTCAATACCTGGCTTCCAAACTTCAAAGGATAGGCTGACTCAGCATGTTAGGAGCCAATGCTACTGGTGACTTCCAAGTGGAACAATGATCACTTATCATTCCAAAAATTGTAGGGCCCTTAAGAAATAAGCTAAATCTACTCTGGCTTGTGCAGTACAAACAGAACAGAGCCTTGATGAAAGCACATCTATTTAACAACATGGTTTGCCGAATATTTTAAGTCCACTGTTGAGACTGTAGCTCAGAATAAAAGATTCCGTTCAAAATACTACTCATTGCTCACTGACATTGCTCATTGCACCTGGTCACCCAAGAGCTCTGATGGAGATATACCAGAAGACTCATGTTGTTTTCATGCCTGCTACCACCACATCCATTCAGCAGGCCATGGATTGAGAAGCCCTTTTGACTTTCAAATCTTATTATTTAAGAAATATATTTCATAAAGGTATAGCTGTCATAGATAGGAATTCCTCTGATAGATGTGGGCAAAGTAAATTGAAAGCCTTCTGGGAAGGATTCATCAATCTGGACGCCTTCAAAAACATTCATTATTCATGAGTGGAGATCAAAACACCAGCATTAACAGAACTCTGGAAGAAGTTGATCCCAACCCTCATGGATGTGAGGAGCTCAAGACTTCAGTGGAGGAAATCACTGCAGATGTGATAGAAATAGCAAGAGAACTAGAAGCAGAGCCTGATAACATGATTGAATTGCTGAAATCTCAAAATAAAATTTTAATGGCTGAGGTGTTGCTTCTTATAAAAAAGAGCAAAGAAAGTGATTTCTTTAGATGGAATCCACTTTTGGTGAAGATGCTGTGAACATCATTGAAATAATAACAAAGGATTTACAATATTACATACTTAGTTGACAAAGCAGCAGCAGGGTTTGAGAGAACTGCCCTCCAATTTTGAAGAATTTCTACTGTGGGTAAAACACTATTAAACAACATCACATTCTACAGAGAAATATTTCATCAAAGAATAATTGATGTAACAAACTTCATTGCTGTCTTATTTTTAAAAATTGTCACAGCCACCCCAACCTTCAGCAACTATCACCCTGACTGGCGAGCAGTCATCAACATCGAGTCAAGACCCTCCAGCAGGAAAAAGATTAGAACAACTCACTAAAAACTCAGTTGATCATTATTAGCAATTTTTAGCAATAAAGTATTTCTAAACTAAGGCATGTACATTTTTTAAACATGTTATTACACACTTAACAGACTACAATATTGTATAAACATAACTTATATGCACTAGGAAAACAAAAATGTGTGTGACTCACTTTATTGTAATATTTGTTTTATTGTGATGGTCTGGAACCGAATCCACAACATCTCCAAGATATGCCTGTGATTGCAATCATTATTTCGGAGGTGGCCACTAGAACTCCTTTGAGTTGGTTCTTTTTTACATAATTCCTCAGTTTTTCACCACTTCCTTGTTTTCTGGCTTGCTGTGTGTTTTCCTAAGAACTGGGATCATCTATTTTTCTAAGACATCTTGAATTCTTTCAATGGGGAGCCATATTTAGCAACCAAGATGCATGTAACCATTGCTACTGAGATTGTCCATGCTTCTTATATTTTCTGGTAGACAGAACAGGGTGGGGGGAGAGATATTTCTTTATTTACTCATGGATTCATACCAATATTTCCAATTAATCTGATGTAAAATATTTTTCTTAGTTCCTTTTATTCTATATTTGTCTTTATTCTCTTACAGTGATATATTTTAGTTCCTAATAATATTAATAGGTTAACTTAAAAGTCCCTATCCTATAAGATAAATAAAATAATTTTAAGTTTACCACAAACAATAGACCTACTGAGCTAAGTAAATGAGATCATACTACACAGATCATTCTATAGTTTCATGAATAATGTGGGATATTTTGCCATACCTGGTCACAAAGATCTTATTCTTTTTAATCAGCTTGCTAATATTCTAAAATACAGATGTACCATTTCCCTACTGGTGAACATTCAGATTATTCCAACTATTTTGTTGGAATATTATTATTTGGTATTATAAATAATGCTAAAATTAACATACTTGTACATATATCTTTATGCATATTTCTATGAAAACTAATTTGTGTACACTCTTTGAATTATTTGTACTTATTCATAACCCATTTTTTCAATTTTATTAATTTTTAGAAGGTCTTTATTATGTTTGTTAAAACTTTGCTATATGTTACAAATATTTTTCTACTAGATAGTCTGATCTTGTTAAAATGTTTTCTCTCACAGAATTCCATTGTAATAGAGTCAAATCTGTTTCCCTTTTTAGATATATGGCTCTTTATAGGGAAAAAAAAAAAAAGCTTTTTGAGGCTGGGCGTGGTGGCTAACACCTGTAATCCCAGCTCTTTGGGAGGCTGAGGTGAAGGATCACTTGAGCCCAGGAGTCCAAGACCAGCCTAGGGAACATGAAAAACCCAGTCTCTACAAAAAGTACAAAAATTAGTTGGAAACAGTGGCACACATAGTCCCAGCTACTCACAAGGCTAAGGTGGGAAGATTGCTTGAGCCTGGGAGGTCAAGGCTGCAATGAGCCATGATCATGCCACTGCACTCCAGCCTGGGCAACAAAGTGAGACCCTGTCTCCAAAAAACAAAAACAAAAAACAAAAAAAAACCCTTTCTGTGTTGTGTGTGTGTGTGCACACACACACTTGCATGTGTATACAATTTCCTTCTCAGTTTTTATTTATTTGGACCCTATTCCTGTATCACTAGAATGGTGTTTTAATTACTACACCACTACAGTATAGCAAGCAATACAGTACAATATAACAATACTGGTCTTTATTTTTAAATTTTACACTGGATAGTTTCATTAACATACTCTACAACATATATTTGACAATCAGATTGTCAAACTTCCCGAACTTCTCAAAAGATAAAACAGCTATTTTGACTAGAATTGCTATTAATTTTACAGACTAGAACTTTGAATAGAGTCTACATGCAACACTATTTGGTTTTTCATTCTGAAAAATAGCTCTCTCTTCATTTGTTTGATCCTAGAATGAAGTGTTGTTATTTTCTTCATACAAATCCTATTCATTTTTTAAAATTTATTACTACTTATTTTATGGTTTTACAGCCTTATGATTGGGTTCCAACATCCATTCTACATAAATTTCTAACAACTATGTATAGAGGATTTTTTTTTCTTAAAATGATAAATATCAAATATACAAAATGAAAAATCAAGATTCTTATTAAAGAAAAAGTAACCATCAGCCTTTGCCTTTAAAAGAGATTATAGATAAAGCAAGAATATGACCCTTTTTGCAGTTCAAATGCACAGTATCTACTTGAGGGGAAAAAGAGAAGCTCAGATATGGCAAAGTGCACCATTTTTTATAATTACTTGGCTACACATACAAGGGGAAAAAGGGACAAGTAAACATACTAACAATATTGTAAAAGCTCCACAAAAAGGGAAAATCAACTGCAGAACAACTTACATGTGGCACATTATTCATATAAAATAAATCCACTCACATGGTAATTTTTTAAATTATTAAATGCTCAGACACAAATTTTCCTCAGAACACAACATTTATGCAAAGGAATATATAGAATGGGTACGGTAGCTCATGCCTGTAATCCCAGCACTTTGGGAGGCCAAGGTGGGTGGATCACCTGAGGTCAGGAGTTCGAGACCAGCCTGGCCAACATGGCGAAACCCTGTCTCTACTAAAAATACAAAAATTAACCAGCCATGGTGGCAAGCACCTGTAATCCCAGCTACTTGGGAAGCTGAGGCAGGAGAATCACTTGAACCTGGGAGACAGAAGCTGCAGTGAGCTGAGATCGCGCCACTGCACTCTAGTGTGGGTGACAGAGCGAGACTCTGTCTCAAAAAAAAAAAAAAAAAGTATAAAGCCCAATTAAATGGATGAAGAAAAGAAAACATGAATTCTAGTTAACAAAATTAAACATAGTAATGACAACAAAAATACCAAAAAGACTGGGAAACTATAAGAGCTAAGACCAACATTCTAAATATCTAGAGAAAGGAAGATTTTTGTATTAGTAAAAATAACTTTTTAAAAAAGAGTAAAAGAAAAACATATATAACATAAAACAACAGTAAATACAACATATCAGTTAGATTAAACATACTAGTTATGTCAAGATAAGTAAATAGGCTTAACCTTCCTATTAGAAAAAGTTTCAAATTGCCTATGTGAAAAATATAATTAAAATAACTATAAGCATAGCGATCTGACTATATACCTTCACTGGGCTATACGCTATAAATAAAAAACTGCATAGAAATCTTAAACTTTATTGAGATTATTATTAGTAGTGGTATTGCTATAGTAATTCCAATGTTATATCATGTATAAGACAGAGCAAATGAATAAACATATATTGATGTTATTGGTAAACTGGATCTTCATTATGGAAGAGGAATATGAAACAAGGAAAGAAAAGAACCTTGGTGTCACTAGGAATTCAAATATCACTAGTTTTTAAAAGTATATTTTCTTATTCTGTCTAATGAAAAGAACCAATAGAAGCAATGACACCCAGTAATGCATCCATGATGTTGGCTTCCAAATACCATTCCCCACTAAGAGAAACAAGAACTTTTGGTAAAATAGCCAAGTCCAGGTCTGGGGTAAGAAAACCATAAGGTAAGGAGAGAATGTTTTGTTGTGCCACAAAGCAAACTGGTGCTATAAAAATGAGGGGGCATGTCAAAGAAACAGAAACCAGACTGATTGAGTTCTCGCTGGCTAAATTTTAACAATTTGAGTCACCAAAGGATACACAGTCATGCGTCACATAACCACAGGGATATCTTCTGAGAAATGTGTTTGTTAGGCTATTCCCTCACTGTGCTAACATCACAGAGTGTATTTACACAAGCCTACACGGTATAGCCCATTGCTCCTAGGCTACAAACCTGTATACCATATTACTGTACTGAATACTGCCTGGTAACTGTAACATGGTGCGTCTGAGAATATCTAGACATAGAAAAGGTACAGTAAAAATACAGTATAAAAGATTTTTTAAAATCATATGCCTATATAGGGCACTTACTATGAATGGAGCTTACAGGACTGGAAGCTGCTCTGGGTGAGTTAATGATTGAGTGAAGAGTGAATGTGAAGGCCTAGGTCGTTACTGCACACGGCTGTAGGCTTTGT
This sequence comes from Homo sapiens, assembly GCF_000001405.40. NCBI lineage: Eukaryota > Metazoa > Chordata > Mammalia > Primates > Hominidae > Homo > Homo sapiens. The sequence goes on from NC_000004.12 coordinate 152,486,264, forward strand.
AAATATACACTCAAACCACACTACATCTATTTTTAAACATTTTCTTTCTTCAATAATAAACCTTAGCTCATATAAACTTTTTAGTTTTTAAACTTTTCTGACTTTTGTAATAACATTTAGCGTAAAACTAACATATTGTACAGCTGCACAAAAATATTTTCTTTCCTTTTATCTTTATTTTACAAGCCTTTTCTATTTTAAAAAATTCCTGTTTTACTTTTAAAACTGTTTTGCTAAAACCTAAGACACAAACAAACACATTAGACTAGCCCTACACAGGGTCAGGATCATCAGTATCACTGTCTTCCACCTCCACATACTGTCTCACTGGAAGGTCTTCAGGGACAATAACATGCACAGAGCTGTCATCTCCTATAATAACAATGTCTCTGGAGTACGTCCTGAAGGAACTGCCTGAGGCTGTTTTGCAGTTAACTTTTTTTTTTAATAAGTAGAAGTACATTCAAAATAACAACAAAAAGTATAGCATAGTAAATACATAAACCGTTAACATAGCTGTTTATTATTATTATCAAGTATTATGTACTGTACACAATTATATGTGCTATACTTTTAGACTGGCAGCACAGTAGATTTGACTTACACTAACATCACTACAAACATGTAATATGTTGGTTGTGACGTTAGTCCTAACATGTTATAACAGCTACAACGTCACTATGCGATAGAAATTTTTCAGCTCCATTATAATCTCATGGGATCAATGTCGTATATGCAGTGCATGACTACATAACAATAATGGATTTTAGTTCACCGAATTAATGAAGAAACCATGAGCCCTTAGTGAAAGGACAGAAACTCCTTTACAGAAAGAAGAATGCCAGCTAATAAATGTGGAAAGAATAATAGATGTAGAAAATCATTTTGCAAGCATCAATGTAACCAATAATTCAGGCATAAATCAATAATGGATGTTAAAAACACTGGGTGAAAGGCTGTTGAGAAACAATGTTTACTCAGTCTCAAGGCATTACCCCACAGATTAATGATTAATTATCAAGGGGAAAAGGATACTTTTACAATAGAGAAATCAGGTCACACCACCTTAACCAAGTAATCAAACTAAACATCATAAATAATGGACCAAACTAATAATTCAGAGGATAAAATAAACAAACTTTAAGTACATACAAATATCAACATGAATAAATCTTGATGTAAATAAACACTGAGTGAAAAAAGCAAGTTAAAAAGTTATGCCAACAGTATATTATTATTCACATTTTAAAAGGAAATCAGTACTGTTTATCTTTTTATACAAATATGTGGTAAAAAGTATTGAAAACTTACAGGATACCTTTAGAAAAGTAATTACCTCTGAGAAGAGAGGCAAAAGAATGAGATTAGTAATCTTCAATTATATTTTTAATTTATTTTAAAAAGTTCTGAAACAGTGATAGCAAAAAGTTAACATTTGTTAAATTTTGGCAGTACAGATACATAAGCATCTTATATTCTTCCTTGTATTTTTTATATTTTGAAGTATCATTTAAAATTGTTAAATTTAAAATGGACTGCTGCTACATAATTTTCAGTTTTAATAGCTATACAATACTTAGTTCTGTAATTCTTGCTGTTTAAAACAACCGTTTTGAAGAACTTTGATTTAGAAGGTCACCAGTGGTTCCTATTTTAATCTTTAATGTAAATTAACAGAAGCAAATTGGCACTTCCAAAATGATTCTAATAAGCAAAATGCATTCCATTTAAACAAATAAAAAATAATGTTAAAAGTATGCCATCCAAGTGGCATTACATCTCCAGTTTAATACTTCCTGTATCTCATATTGCTTTTAAAACTGAACATTCTTTGGAGAATTGAAAGTTTGACTATTTTAATAATTTGCTTTTGTCAATCACTTTGACTAACTCTACAAAATCATCCTATTAAAGTTATTATTTTAAATATCAATTAATAGGTCTATAAAAAACCTACTGTTATAAGACTGGTGCATAAAAAAATATAAATTTTTCAAGTGATTTAGCAGTAATTTAGTTCTTCATCATGTTCCTTAAAAGGCTTTAATCTATAATCTATTTGTAAAAACTTTCTATTTTCTCCTTAAGAGAAGGTCAACGGCTTTCACTTCACTTGTCTAACATAATCATGAATTGAAATAAGAACTCTCAGCTCTTTGGAACGACAATGCTACCAGTATGCCTAGGCCAATAAAGCGATTCGTTCATTAATGCTGCTAATAAAGCAACCTTTTGTTAGTCTATGAAACATCAGAAACCTTACAGACTCTAACTTTGCAATTTTTCCCTGTTTTGCCACATGAACTTAAAAGTTCTCTTACATGCCATTTACTTTAATAACTAAAACACTATCATTCAAAAATTCAATCTTCCACTCTAGGTAAGTTAATAACTTAAAAAATATTCGCTCCAACTGCAGAAATTTCTAGATGAAATTATGTTTTAATTAATTATTCTCTTGTGTTTTCCCATAAAAACCAATCTGTATAGAAGTCTGTGCTATCTTCTATTAAACAACTAAAGGAACTACCCATATAATATTCTCAAAAAGAAAAGCATAAATGTTCATTTATTCAATTAGCACCAATCAACTACAGTAAGCAAGGCAAAGAAAATACAGCAAAGATTAATACACAATTCCTGCCCTCAAGCAACTCAATTTAGGGAGTAAGCCAGGTATCTGTAAAAATTACTGTAAGGTAGTTTATAATATTAACTACTAAATATAATAGTATAAAGAATATAATTAACAGAGCTTAGACAGGATTTTTTAAAACCTTCCATGAGACTTTTGAGGCTAAATAGAGAATAGTCTATTTTAGGTAAATAAACAGCACGTATAGAAACACAGATGCATCAAACACCAAGGTAAATTCAGAAATTCTTAATTCTGTAAGGCTCAAGGGTATCATGTATGTAAGGAATTATTAGGAAATGTCTGTCAGTTCACAAAGGGCCATGTTTGTGTTGCCCTCGAATTTGAACTTTATTCTAGGCAATTGGCAGTAATTAAAAGGCTATAAGAAGTAGTGTATGGTGCTCAGTTCTGTTTTTTAGAAAAGTCACTCCTGAACTACCTGAATTCCCAAAAGCTCTTATTTTCAATAACTTCAGAATACATAAAGCTTTTGGTAATTCAGGTACCTCAAGAGGACATAAATGGTAGGCTTCCAAGCCTACCAAGACATTCATACTCAGTATAACTATATACCTACTCTATACTGCTAACTTAAGTTTAGCATTTTCTAAACTAACTGTCACTTAAAGAGAAAAATCAATACATGAAATATTGGTTCTAATATTAGTCAACTATTTTTAAACCTCTTCAAAGTATTGGGAAAATATCAGTTTCCAGGAATTATAAAGTCATGTTATTGATACATTTTAAGAGTTGCAGTTAAAGTCAACAGGATGTGTTTAGAATTTATAAAATTAATCTTAAAATTTAGCCCACTGTAATCCTTACTGTGAACATCCCTGGAACTGAAACCTGGCACCCTTATCTTCTTCTGAGCACTGTCTTTTATGCTTACTACCCTCCCCTCAATACCACCCCCATGCCTACCTTGAAAACTCCATGTTCTTACATGACCCTGGGCTACAGTGAATTAGTCCAACTTGACCCAGCCATACCAATGTTTTCAGTTGTTACCTATTATGACTAAATCCATAAGCATTCTTTAAAAAAAGCCTTGCAAACATGTTTTCATTTCTATTAGGGAAGTACTTTCTTCAACCACAAAAAATGGAACTAGAAGTCGCTACAACATGAATTAACTTTGAAAATATTATGCCAAATGAAATGAGAGGACAATAAGACAAACACTGTATGATTCTATTTATGAGGTACCTAGAATAGTCATAATCATAAAGACAGAGTATAACATACGTTACCAGGAAATCAGGGGAGGAAAGATGGGAGTTATTGTTTAATGGGTATCAAGTTTTTATTTGCGATGATGAAAAACTTCTGGAAATGGACAGAGATGGATGGTTGCAAAATATTGTGAATGTACTTGATGCCACTGAATTGTATATTTAAAAATGGTTGAAATGTAAATTTTATACTATGTATATTTTGCCACCAATAAAGAAAAAAACCTTAGAGGAAAAATTTGTTACTTATTGGACTCCCTAGAACCCAAGAAAGTAAAAAAGATCTAACATTTAATAAGTACCAGGCATTACATATACTACCTCAAATAGCCCTCCCAACAACACTATAAGGTACACTTAGTATCTCTGTTTTAATGAGGAAGAAACAGGCAAAAAGCAGATAACTCAAAAGTCACAGAGCTAGGAAATATTGGGCATAGGACTCAAACCCTGGCAGTCTGACTCTGTCTCTCAAGCAGCAGCATAAGTTAAAAAAACATTCATTACAGAAATCTATGTTGTTAAAATTGCCTAAATACTCCATGGAAATATGAACTGGCAAAAATCAAAACATAATCCTGCACCTACAATACCAATAGTGTGTATCTGCATTAAGGACAACATGTTTAATGGTATAATTATAAGCAAAGCAGATTTTTTCTATCTTTATTACTTATGAGCTCACACCTTCATTTGGCAGTAAGATATATCAAAATTTAAAACATACAGCAAGCAGTACAAAAAATAACAAAACAACAAGCTCTTAAAGATCGCTGTCCCTGATAAATACCAAAACTAATAGTCAAAGGAAGAAGCACATTAGAGAAGAGAGAAAAAAGAGGTGATTTAGAATATTCTTTGTAAAGAGGAAAGGGGTCTTTCACTCACACGGCTTAATACATTAATAAGGAAGAAGCATAATAAAGCTCAAGGGCATTTGAGAACCAACTGACAGGACTTTCCGGATATAGTTCCAGATCTAATAACACAGTTTTATTGCCCCTTGTTTTTATCAGATGCCAATAAAATCAGAAAGAAACCATTATCATTTCTCAGTCATTCTCTCACATTCATACATTTTATAACATACTGACCTTACAACATAAGCAGTAATAGAATAGCTCTTCAATTTGGGTATCCTTCAATTTTTTTAAAAAACTACACCAACATAATCATTCAATAAATGTATTATTATTCTAGACATTAAAACAGCAAGAATAGATATATCTTTCCCTCCAAAAACTTAGGCTTAGTCTAGTGTAGAGGTTGATAATAGTTAAGCAAATAAATCATAATTAAGATAAAAGCTATGAAAGGACTTAACAGGGGCACTTAAAACTAGTGAGTGTTCTGAATCAGAAAAGGCTTTCCCCCATGGACGTGACGTTTAGAATGATATTTGGAAGATGTCTTAAAAAGTCAAGAGGAATTCAGGATAGTGGCTGGTGGGGAGAAAGGAGTGCTGAATCAGGGTACGATTCACAGAGAAGAAAATTACATTAGTAAGCATTCTTTATTAAGCTGGCAGTCAGACCACAGGTGCTGTTTAAGTGTCTTCGTAACTTTGATTTAAAAAGATCTTTATATGGAAAACTTTGAACACACAAAAAACAAACAAAATAGTATACTAAACTTCCCCACATCCATTACTCAACTTCAGCAACCACCAACGTTCTGCAATTCTTCTTTCATCTACACCTCCCACTCCCTGTCACCTAACTCAATTATTTCTATAATTTTTAGATAAAACTTGTTTATTTTATCTAAGATACATGTATGCCATTGAAATACATACTTCTTAGCTGTACAACTTTAATAGATAAGCCCATGTAACACACACCTCTATGAGATATGGAACATTTTCATCACTTCAAGAAGGCCCCTTATGCACCCTCCCAGTTGAATATCACCATTTTCCAGAAGCAAAAGGCAACCTTTGTTCTGTTTTTATTTTTTCACTCCAGAGTAGCTTTGCCTCTTCTAGAACTTAATATAAATGGAATAATACAGTATCATGTCCAGCTTCCTTTGCCAAGTATGTCAGATTCATCCATGTCATGTTGTGTACATTTGCCATTCTGTAGTTCTTTTATTACTGAGTGGCATTCCATTGTATGAATATACCAAAAAATTTTTAGTCATTAATCCTATTGACATTTGGGCTGCTTCTAGTTGTCAGCTGTAAGGAGTAAATCGACTGTAAATATAATTTTTAAAAGTTTTTTGTGGACATGTTTTCATTCCTTTTCCGAAAACACCTAGAAGTAGAATTGCTGGATCCAAAGGTGTATGCTTAAATTTATAAGAAATTGCCAGTGGTATTCCAAAGTGGCTCTCCCATTTTATACTCACACCAGCAATTTACGAGTGTTCTGGATGGCTTCCTAGAATATTTGTAGTTGACAGTCTTTTTAATTTTACCCCTTCTAGTTGGTTTTAGTGATTATTTTATGGTTTAAGTCTGCATTTCCCTAATAACTAATGTTTTTATCTTTTGTATGTATTGAAAACTGGGTAATGTTGTAAATGAAAAATGAGGAGCATATTAACATAGGAAATAAGAGCAAAGACTCTGGAGGAAAAGGTATATTACGCCTGGACCAAGAGGCCGTGCTTTGCTATAGTGCAGCTATGGCAAAGAGTAACAAAGAATAGTAAGGCTAAGGAGGTAGATTAGGGTCAAATCACATGGATGGGGATTATTATGAGTTCAGATTTGAACTCGTTTTTTTAAGGTACCTCTAGGATAAGCTAAATGGCATTATTAAATAGGTCTGAAACTCAGGCAAATTAAGTGCTGGAACAACAGGTATGCAGTTCCTTCATAAATGGAAATCAAAGTGGTAAGACTGCCTGGGGAGAAATAACAGAAGTAAGAGAAGCAGAAAATACCAAAGGACCAAGACTCAAGAAATTTCTACTTTTAATAACCAAGCAGAAGAGAAGCCTGTTAAAAAAAGGCTGAAGAGCAATAGATCAGAGAGGCAAAATGAAAACCAAAGAGTTTAAAGGATAGTTTTTTTGTTTTTTGTTTTTTTTTCCAGAGACAGACTCTCGCTTTGTTGCCCAGGCTGGAGTGCAGTGGCGCAATCTTGGCTCACTGCAAACTCTGCCTCCCAGGTTCAAGCGATTCTCGTGCCTCAGCCTCCCGAGTAGCTGCGATTACAGACATGTGCCACCAAACCTGGCTTATTTTTGTATCTTTAGCAGAGACAGGGTTTCACCATGTTGGTCAGGCTGGTCTCGAACTCCTGACCTCAGGTGATCCACCCGCCTCGGCCTCCCAAAGTGTTGGGATTACAGGTGTAAGCCAATGCGTCCAGCCAAGGATAGTTTTTCAAAACTGTTTAAACCTGCTAGGAGATTATGTGCCAAACTGTCTCCCCCAAAATTCACGTGTTGAAGCCCTAACCCCCAGTACGTCAGAACACGACTGTATTTGGATATAGGGCCTTTAGAGAGGTGAGTAAATTCATCTTCCAGGCCCTAATCCAATCTGGACACAGACACCAGAAATGCATGCAAACAGAGGAAAAACCAAGTGAGGACACAGCAAGAAGGCACCCTCTGCAAGCCAAGGAGAGAGGCCTCAGAAGAAAACAAACCTGCCAACACCTTGATCTTTGACATCCAGCCTCCACATAGTGAGAAAATTAATTTCTGTTGTTTAAGCCACCCAGTCTGTGGTATTTTATAGAAGCCCTAGCACACCAAGTGAGAGATCAAATAAGACCAAGTTTAAAAATATTCACTTAATTTACTAACAGAGAGGTTGTTGGTATCATAAGCAAATACTATTACAGTGGAATGAATAAACTAAACAGGTGAGTCAAAGGTGAGAAATGGAAACAATAATTTCTAGCATTTGGCTAGGAAAGAGAACAGAAAGGTCAGTAATGTGGTACCCATTAATGCTTATTGTTTTTATTTTTTTAATAGCAGGAATTAAGCGTGTTTAAATACTGACGAGAAGAATCAAGTGTAAAGAAAAGTTAAACATACAAAAAAAAGGGAAATCATCAACAGCATAAGGTACTGCAGAGAAAGGGAGAAAGCCTTAGATAGAAAGCAAGACTACCTCTATTTTAACATTAAGAAGAAAGAAAATATAGAAAAGATAGTGGGCAACTAAGGGTTGCACCAAGTACTCCGGTTTTCACTGGAAAGTAACAGGAAAAGTTTTCTGTAGAAAGAGAAAGGGCATGTTGGAGGTCTGAGGAGAACAGATGATTGAAACAGTCATGGTAAAGATGAGGAAACTAGCTGACAAGGATAATGCAGTGGATTCCCATGCAGTATTAGGGTCTGTGATCAACAATCATGAATTTATAATTTTTTTTAAATGTCCTTTGAGGTAACTTTTTACTGCAGCATTCAGGTGGTATAGGAATGAAAGAATCTGATAACCGAGTTAATCCAGAATTAGGATTTTACCAAATAAGTGAAAAATCACTTGTCTGAGGAAGAGAAAAATCAGTAGATTTGAGGAGATCAGGGAAATAAGACCAGGATATTGGAGAGTCTATGTAAGGATGCTAAAATGTTTGAGAATTATTGTAGGACCTGGAATGTACAAGGAGATTATGAGGAATACACCACTATCTTCCCAGAATAAGTAAAATCTACCAGAAAGGCTGTAGATAACAGCTAAAAGGAGGTTGAGACCAATAACTAATACTGTTCTAAATGCTTTACATTATTAACTTATTTCTTATAATAATCTATAAGATAGGAGATGATACTATACTACTAATATTGATGAAGAAACAAATATAAGGAAGTTTTAAGAAACTTACCCAAGCTTGCTCTCTTAAACTAATTGTAGGACATTAAATACCAGAGTGAGACAGCTTCAGGGTACAGAGTTCCTAAATAATGTGAAATTTCAATTAAGGAAATTTATATAGTATAAGCTATACTTCCAGTCCTAACACTGTATCAGATCAGATCACCTGAAAAGCCTTCCCACAGAAATTTCATGCAGAAAGGATATATCAAAATAATTCTTTTAGGCTGGGTGTGGTGACTCACGTCTGTAATCCTAGCACTTTGGGAGGCCAAGACAGGCAGATCACCTGAGGTCAGGAGTTCGAGATCACCCTGTCCTACATGGTGAAACCCCGTCTCTACTAAAAATTTAAAAAAAAACAAATTAGCTGGGTATGGTGGCACACACCTGTAGTCCCAACTACTCAGGAGGCTGAGGCAGAAGAATCGCTTGAAACCGGGAGACAGAGGTTGCAGTGAGCTGAGATCACCCCACTCCACTTCAGCCTGGGCAACAGAGTGAAACTCAACTCAAAAAGGAAAAAAAAAATTATTTTAAATTAATCCTTTAGCCACCATGAAACAGAAATCTTTAAGTGTGTGCCAGTAACATGGAAAAAACAGTAACATATTAAAAATATATATATTAGGCTACAAGTTGGCAATGTTTCTTCCCTACAATGGGTTGCTAGTCTTAACCTATATTTATCCTTTGACTCATATGTAGGGACTAGAAATGAGACTTTTGGCCCTTAGTGGGAGACTTCAGTTCTGAGATACCCCTTTCTACTCCATACATTAACACACACATAAAGCCAAGGCCCAGGAAAAGCTGCAATTTTAGTAAAGTGGTCCTACATAGGTCAATAACAGAAGAAAAATATAAAGACATAGGCTTAGAAAGCAACAAAAACCATCTTTATTCACTACTTATATGATTATCTGCATGAGGTATCCAAGAGAATCTATCATTAGAAGTAAGAGTTTAGGCCAGGTGCAATGGCTCATGCCTGTAATCTCAGCACTCTGGGAAGCCAAGGCAAGAGGATCGCTTAATCCCAGGAGTTCGAGAGCAGCCTGGGCAACATAGCAAGACCTCATCTCTACAAATAATTTTAAAATTGGTTGGGTGTGGTGACATGCACCTGTGGTCCCAGCTACTTGGGAAGCTGAGGTGGGAGAATTGCTTGAACCCAGGCAGTCAAGGCTGTGGTGAGCAGTGACCACACCACTGCACTCCAGCCTAGGTGTCAGAGTAAGACACACCACCTCAAACAAACAAACAAAAACAACTAAGAATTCAGCAAGATTGAGAGATACAAAATCAAGATACAAACAGCAACTTGCTTCTTAGCAATTTGTCTCTTATACTAATTGGTTTGTAGCTACCAGTAACAAAAAGTATTTTTATAAAAATTTGCCATTCACGATGGTAACAAAAATCATAAAAACCTAAAAAAAAAAAATCTAATGAAGACTTCTATCAAGAAAAAAATGGAACTGGGCCAGGCGCAGTGGCTCACGCCTATAATCCCAGCACTTCGAGAAGCTGAGGTGGGTAGATCACCTAAGGTCAGGATGGCCAACATGGCGAAACCCTGTCTCTACTAAAAATACAAAAATCAGCCAGGCATGGTGGCAGGCGCCTGTAATCCCAGCTACTGGGGAGGCTGACGCAGCAAAATCACTCGAAACAGGGAGGCGGAGGTTGCAGTGAGCCGAGATCACAACAAAAGCAAGACTCCATCTCAAAAAAAAAAGAAAAAGAAAAAAGAAAAAAATAGAACTGTATTGAACAGAAATATCAATGACAGTCAACCAATGTAAAGGTGACAACTATCCCCACTGTAACCTGTAAATTCAATGAGATTCCAATCACATTTCCAACAGGGTTTGTTTTCTGTTAAATTTTCATTAGGGTCAGGGTGAAATATGATTAGCTGACCCAAAATTTTCATTGAGAGAAGATTCACCTTATCAGATAACAAGATTTATATCAAAACTATTAAAATTAACACAATATTGTAAAGACATGAAAGCAGACCAAAGAAGCTATGATACAGAAGAGAGATTCTACAAATGAACTCATGTAGTAAATCTGAAACTTTTAAACAATGTTAAAAACCGACACGAAGGCCGGGCACAATGGCTCACGCCTGTCATCCCAACACTCTGGGAGGCCAAGGCGGGCAGATCACCCGAGGTCAGGAGTTGGAGACCAGCCTGGACAACACAGTGAAATCCCATCTCTACTAAAAATACAAAAATTAGCCAGGTGTGGTGGCGGGCACCTATAATCCCAGCTACTCAGGAGGCTGAGACAGGAGAATCACTTGAACCCGGGAGGCAGAATTTGTGTGAGCCAAGATCGCACCACTGCACTCCAGCCTGGGAGACAGAGTGAGACTCCATCTCAAAAAAAAAAAAAAAAAAAAACCACACACACACACACACACACACACACACACACTATGAGATACTTGCAATGCATATTACCAAAACCATTAATATCCAGATTATAAAAAGAATCACCACAAATCAATTTAAGGTTCAATACCCAATAGGAAAAAAATCAGCAAAGAACATAAAAGATTCACAGAATAGGAAACTAGAATGATCAAAAACTATGCAAAGACATTCAACTTTACTATAAATCAAAGTAATGAAAATGAAAATCATCAAACTCCATTTCTCATCTTTCAAATAGGCAAAAAAATCATAGCTAGATAAAATTAAATGTTGATAAAAAAAAGTGTGGAAACATGTTAATGGGTATAAAATGGTAGCTCCACTTTGGACTGGACTCGGCAATACTTGATAAAGTGGCACCTGAACCCTGTGATTCAGCAATTCTACTTTCAGGTATCTATCCTAGATAAAATTACAGTAAGTACCTATGTACGAGCATTACAATATTATTTGCCAAAAGGTAGAACTGCATTATCTCTATAAAACTTAGCATTATTCAACCTGGAAAACTAAACAGTAGTTACAATGAATGAACTAAATCTACACATGTCAATATGAACACATCTAGAAAAAAACACAGGTCATCTTTTGTGTAAATGTTTTATGTGTACAAAAACAGCAGGGAAATAATCGTAAGGACTTTAGGATAATGAGTACCTCCAAAGAAGGGAGAAAAGTATGGGGAGGGAAGAACTTTAAAAGGAAATCAAACGAGGCAAAAGGTTAATATCTGCTTGACCCTGAGGTTAGATACACAGGTGTTTGTTATACTACTTTCTGTCCTTTCTTTGTATCTTTGATTTCATAATTTACACAAATTTTAAGAGACTGCAAATAGTAAGCTTAGTGAAAAGAAATTGCAGAGGGCACAATGGAAGGAACTAGGAAGCATGAGAGAAATAGAAGGCTTTTGTCAAGGCAAAAAAAAACTCATAAAACATTAAGAAGACAGTAATTCAGAAGATATGATCACCTACTAACGAAAACTACTGAGAGGCAAGTCTCAGACTCCTTGAGGAAGATGGAAATTGGGCCTCATGGCCAGACTATGCATCTAACTAGTTTATTATCTCAGCTCATTCAGCCTGGCATCACTGTGATTCTCAGCAACTCTCATCACTATATATTATGAGGGTGACTGTGCTGAACCTTGAATCTAATAGGTGCAAGACATTCTGTTGGACAATGCAAGCGATATAAAGAGGCATAGTACTAGTTTTCAGGGAGCTTATCATTTAGTGCGGAAGCTAAGATGCATACAGAAAAACAAAACAAAACAAAAAAACACCTTGCACTTAATGTCTAAACAAGTGCTACTGGAATTCAGAGGAAGAAAAAAATCCATCAGGCTGCTGGGATGGTATAAGAAAGGTTTCATAACAATAGTGGAGCTCAAGCCAAGTAGCAAAGAAGAAAAAGCAATTCAAAAGGTACAAAAATTGGCATTCCTGGTAAGAAAAAATGACAGCAAAGGATTGCAGAGCTCTAGGAAGGGAAAAAATAGAGTATAAGTGCTTGACAATTTTTAGATCTCAATTAGAAAAATAAAATATTTTGACGATAAATAAAATCTTTAAAGTTAGACGATCAATCAGGGCTCTAAGCTATAAACAGAATCTATTTGAGGTGGTTTCAAGAGAAAATAAATTTATTAATATATTAGGGGATTCCAAGAATTATCAGAGAACTGAAGAATCCACTTGGAGATATGATGCCAGGAAAAATACCTAAGTCTCCCCACCAAATTGTTCCCATCCTTCAGCCCTAGTACCATGAAAGCTGAGCCTAGGACAACAAGGCTCACTAGTATCTCTGTCACTGCTACCTCTAAACAGCTCAATATCTTGTCACTCAACATGCACATTAGAAAGCAATTCCAGGCAAGAGCTGTTACCCTGCATTTCTCTGACCCTGAATTCATGTCTTACACAGATGCATCTGATCAATAAAGCCTAGGTCATATGCTTGTGCCCTAGCTGCAAGGAATACTAGGAAATTGAGTTCTGACTCTATAAAACATGAACATGCAAATTTATCCAACATTGAGAGGCTATTTGAAATGAGAAACCACAAATACAGATCAAGTCTATGCTTCCAATCAAGATCCTCAAACCTGACAGATTATAACTAAGCCTTGTACAAACAAGACTCTCTCTGTTCCTCATATGGAGGTAAGAACCAGAGACTTATCAGTTATTGCACACAGCTCCAATATCAGAATCTCTCGGTGATATCCCCCTCCTTCCTGTTTTCTCATATAACCCATGAAGTAAACTGCAAAAAGGGGGCAGCCTCCTGAGCAGCCAGGACCACAGGCTCACGCAGCCATGCCCAAAACACAAAAGTTAACTTTTGTGTTTTTTGTAGAGACAGGGTTTCACCATGTTGCCCAGGCTGGCCAACTCACTCTTATGGTAGTTCAAGTAAGGCCTTCTCCTATGAGACCTAAAATTTTTTGCTCATACAGATAAAGTAGGATCTTAATAGGCTTCCTCTCTATTTTAGACGTAGGGATCCATGATCATTTAGTCACAGCCAAAAAGAATTCAAGTCAGTGCATCTCTGATCATCATGCCTGTCAAGCTACCTTATGAAAATGATGCCTGGACCTTACCTAGAATCTGGCCACACCCCCTGAAGTAAAAAAGACAATTTCAATGAAAGTATCTCCTCCAGCCTACAGACAAAAGCAATTGAATTACTTTTCATATATGCTGGCACTGCCCTCAAAGTATTTCTCATTAGGTTGGTGAATGAAGTGTCTTCCAGACCTCTTAGTAGAGAATACTGGAGAGGGAATAGGGGAGGTAAGTGAATGGTCACAGTGATAAATCCACTCCATCAGTTCTATTTCCTTTAATCTTTTGACTTCTTCCTCTATATTATGCTATGAGTTTTTAGGCATTCAACTTCATTTAGTATAAGTCAATGCTGAGACCAAAGGAGCAAACAATTAGAACCACTCCTGGCTACTTGAACGAGAACAATGAATTCAGAATCTCTGATAACTGCACCATACCAATACATTCAGCCAAATGCAAAAGCATGTTTCTTTCTCTCTCACATCATCATCATCACCCATTTCTGTACATATTCCTGAAGGTTTTGCTGCTTTGTCAGCAAAAAAAAAAAAAAAAAAAAAAAACTTTAAAAAAATTACATATAATCCTTTTCTTCCCATTGTGACTGCAAAGGTGCAGCATGATATAGTCTGACTCCAGTTACAGGTATGGAAACATGAGTATCGTGGGAAGGGGTATGAGGAAACTAGCTTCCCCATGGATGGTAACTGTCTTAAGCAAGGTTGTTAACACAGGGAAGGATGGCTTCTGCTAGCAGGAGAGACTCAGAGTTTGGAGACTTGAAGTACTATGTGTCCGCAATTCCCCATATACAGAAATGTATTCAAAAGATTATTAGCAGCCAAAAATATCACATGTACAATTTAAAAAGTGGGTATTTATAAATTGCAATTCTGTTTCCTCATATTTTCTTAAAATTAAGCAACATAAGATTTCTTCTATTTGGTTTTGTTACCATGCATTTGATTAATATTAATTATCACAACTTCACACTAAGATCAGGCAGCATTATGGTACTCAAATTTAAGAGCAATTGAATTTGTGCCTCTAGAGGGCAGCATTTCTCACAGGATAGACAAGTCCGACTTAAAGTCACTGTGGAAGAAGCTTAAGACATGCAGGAAGACAAGCTTTAGCAAGTTTCTTTCTTGTAAGATATCTCAAAGCCTTTGATATATTAATGTGCATGGTAAAATATTCAATAGGCCATTATTATGGTACACAGTGTTTCTTCAAACTTAATTACAGAACTCTTTCAAGGACCATCTCTAGTGACTAGCAGAATGCACTTTGGAAACCATCTAAATAGGCAAATTCTCTCAAGACAAGTTCCACTTCCTTCTTTATTCATGAACTTATGCTTCATAGGATTTTTAAAACAAGTTTTCAGACATCTCCTTATATTCTCATATCATGAGATCAAGACAGAATGAAATAAACATCAGCAATAACATTCATTTACTTCTGTAGAAATCAAAAACATGGAGAACTTATTGCCTAACTTGCTCAAAGGATAAAAGCAAAGTAATAAAGAAAAAAAGGTTGGTGCTTTAATAACTAGTCAAGATATGGCCACTACTGGTTTTAAAACCACAGAGGAGTTGAAGTACTTAATTTTAGAAATTGTATATTCATCCAAATTCAGGATATTAAATATCTGAGCTCCACTGAAAATCTTTCCACAATCCATGTCAACTGAAATTGAGCTTGCTAATCTAAAGTTTGTTGTAAACCTGATGAGATCTCGATAGGTCTCTACAGATGAACATTCTTTTTTTTATTTGTGAAAGAGCTATTAAACAAAATTACTCTCTTTTTTTGGTTTTTCACCCAAATGATGAAACAGTCTTTAGAATATAGATACTTTTCCACTCTCCAACTACTCTAGTAACATACAGGCAAGCTATGATTTCAAATATGTATATCCAAATGCTTTTCTGATTAAATCCTTTTATCCATGAAAAATGTTTGAAATTTTTTCATGCCTATAAGAGATGCCACAAAGAAAATGCAAGTAGTTCTAAGTAGCTCTTTCTAGGGTGCTTGATTCAGAAGTCCCCTTGGTACTGTTCCTATGACATCAGCCTGATCAAAAATGACTGTAATCTCTAGTCCCAAGTAACCAAAATACTTTAATCACATACATAACCAACTCTCAAAAGGTTTAATTTCTAATATATTAGCTATTAGCCACATGTGACTACTAAGCACTTGAAATGTGGCTAGTGTTACCAGGGAATTGAGTTTTTAGCTTTATTTAGTTGTACTTAATTTAAATTTAAAAGCTGAAGCTGTGTAAAATGTCCTTCTACTAAAGAAAGTTTTATTCTTTTGGCAGTACTACATTTCACTGTGACCACTGTACTGCATATTATACTCCACATCTCAGGATACAGTGAGTCATTTCTAGTATTACACATAAAAATACTGATCTAGTCAGTAAAAATTAACTAATTTACAGTTAGAATGAGTATTTTTCTACTCATCAATCTAACACCGTACTGCGTTTACTTAAATACGTTTTTCACAAATAACACAAGTTGCAGTGATGCCTATGTAAATCACAACTGGTAACTCAATCGCAATACTTTTTATTTTTTTTAATTTTAATATTTTGAATATAATTAATTTTCTTACTTTAAAAATGAATGGACAAGAGGAGGACACATTTTTAAAAGTAAAAAGAAGGCATTACAGCAATACACAATCAAGTAGAGATACAGAAGCTAATGCTACCACCAGAACAGTAAAGTAAAAAGAAACTGGAAGAAGGTATGCTAGAAATTTTCTAATGAATGACAATTACAATTAGCTGTGACAGAGCAAAATTAAAAGCTATTTCTTGGGTTTTAAAGTTTTACAAGTAAAGTAGACAATATTAGGAGACATTTTCAACAAATACACAGTGAATTTTATAAGAACTTTCTGCTCTACAATCAGAAGAAAAGCAACAAAATTAGCCAAACAATGTCAGAAGTAAATGTACAACAAACGTGTTTAAAAGCTTTTTAACAAATCTGGGCTTGTAACTCTGGTCAGCTATAAACTGGCTTAAATTCTTGCGCCAAAAGAAAGAAAATCACATTTACATAAAGAGATGGTAAAGAAATTATTTCAATTATAGAAATTTTGTTAGAAAATTATGAGGAATACTAAAATAGATACTTTACAACACGTGGAAGATATTCAATTAAGACACCATCCATCATATGGAAGACCTTTCTAATAATACGAAAAATCAACAGATTCAAAATGTGAAAAATTACTATTTCCCTTTAGCTTTAGATGAGCCATGTGATATAAGAGACACTACCTTATTAAATTTTTTTTTTTGAGACAGTCTCGCTCTGTTGCCCTGGCTGGAGTGCAGTGGCGCAATCTCGGCTCACTGCAACCTCCACCTCCCAGGTTCAAGTGATTCTCCTGCCTCAGCCTCCAAGTAGCTGGCATTACAGATGCACACCACCACGCCCGGCTAATTTTTTGCATTTTTTAGTAGAGATGGGGTTTTGTCATGTTGGCCAGGCTGGTCTCGATCTCCTGGCCTCAAGAGATCCACTTGCCTTGGCCTCCCAAAGTGCTGGAATTACAGGCATGAGCCACCGTGCCCGGCCCCAATTAAATCTTTTAGGTGAAATTTATTTGAAAGAACTTCTAAACTTAAGAAAAAGTTGTCACTATGTAGCTGTAAAAAAAAAAAAAAAATCAAGAGTGGCATAGATATTTTTTAATCCTTTACCTCTGTCAAAGAATTTCAGCTAGGTATTAAACAATTAGTTTCTATCACAACAGACAGCTCCAGCTATGTTAGGAATTTTAAAAGCAAAAATTGATGTTTCTCCTATTCCTTTATTCCACTGTATGATACACATTGAAAATATCTGTGTTCAGCTTTCTGAAACAGACTATGAAAAGCCCTATGTAAAGAGTTGAATTGTTCAGTATGTACATGCCAAAAATATGAATCCTAGCCAGTTCATGGAAATGTTAAAAAAATAAAAAACAATACATTTAAAACATCTGTGTTCTTTGCTCACTGGGTATAGTGGAATAACTTCACAAAGATCTACTCTAATGTCAACTCTGATTTTAGAAAGAGATGCTTTTCACTATTAAGTAATAAAAGACAAAAATGGCAGTATTCTTTTGTTTCCTCACTTACATCTCAATGCCTATGAACAAGCTTAACTTGAAGCACCAAAGAAAGGTAGAGTTTATTTATGACCAGGCTAACACAAGAAAAAGTAAAATAAAAAGAAACTGGAAGAAGGTATGCCAGAAATTTTATAAGAACTTTCTTATAAATTTACATTGAAATTTAAAGTTTTCATAACACAAACCAATAAAAAAGATTTTACACTTTGTTCTAACATAAATCAACATATATAAATTTTAATTGACAGTGTTTTGCAAAGTGGCTGCAAAAATTACAAAAAAATCATTGAAAAACACTTTATTTAATATAGATTTGCCTAACATCCAATCTCCTTTTGAATATAATGTCAGTAATACGGAGTTGACACAAGAGTTCATGAATTTGCTTAACTTCAGTAGCTCAATTTTGAAATGGATACAGTTTTGCTTCAAAGTCTACTACATTCTACTAAAAAACATGAACCAGTTTTACCAATTTAGATGCAAATATTACAGAAAAATTATTTTTTGGTACTTAATTCAGGTAGCGAAATACTTAAGTGTGTCTGAAACGATTTAGATATGTGAATCTACTTTTCCAACCATAAACTTTATGAAATCTAAAGGAAGATCAATTACTTCCGGTAAAAAGTTAGTGTTGAAATTGAGATATAAAATATCTACCAGATTTCAAAAACTTGGTACAAAGAGAATCTAAAATAACAATTTTTTTTATAAATTATGTTGAAATGGTAATATCATGGCTCCATCAGGCTAAATATCTTAAAATTAATTCAACTGCTTTTTACATTAATAAGGGTATTGCAATTTTTAAAATAACATGTGTGGCTCAAATTATACAGTCACGCATCGCCTCATGACAAAGATACATTCAGAGAAATGTGTCAGGCAATTTCTTCTTTGTGTGAATATTACACAGTGCTTTTACACAAATCTCCATGGTATAAACTATTGCTCCCAGGTTACAAACCTGTACAGCATGTTACTGTACTGAATACTGTATGCAACTGTAGCACAATGATATTAACACATCTAAATATATAAAAGGTATATTAAAAATAAGGTATATAAAATGTAAAACGGTGCATCTGTATCATAAATTAAGCTAGCAGGACTGGAAGGTGCTCTAGATGAGTCAGTTGGGGTGGATGCATATGAAGGCCTAGGACATTATTGTATACTACCATACACTTTATAAACAGTGTGCACTTAGGCTGTACTAAGTTTATTTTAAAATTTTTTCTTTCTTCCGTAATAACCTCAGCTTACTATAACGTTTTTACTTTATGAACGTTTTAATTTTTTGCCTGTTTTGTAATAACACTTAGCTTAAAACACATAGTAAAGCTATATAAAAATATTTTCTTTCCTTATATCCTTATTTTATAAGCCTTTTTCCTGTTTTAAAAAAAATTTTTTTAACTTTCAAAACTGTTTTAAGACACAAATATACACAATAACCCAAGCCTACACAGGATTAGGATCATCAATATCACTGTCTTCCATCTCCACATAATGTCCCACTGGAAGGTCTTCAGAGGCAATCACACACATGGAACTGTAATCTCCTACAACAACAGTGCTGCCTTCTGGAACACCTCCTGAAGGGCCTTCTTGAGGCTGTTTTGCAATTTTTTTTTTTTTTTTGAGGTAGAGTCTCACTCTGTCACCAAGACTGGAGTGTGGTGGCGCTATACTGGCTCACTGCTACCTCTGCCTCCCAGGTTCAAGCAATTCTCGTGCCTCAGCCTCCAAGTAGCCAGGATTACAGACGTGCACCACCACACCCAGCTAATTTTTGTATTTTTAGTAGAGACAGGGTTTTGCGATGTTGGCCAGGCTAGTCTCGAATTCCTGGCCTCAAGCAATTCGTCCGCCTCGGCCTCCCAAAGTGAATTTATTTTTTTAAAGTTCAAACAGTGCATTCTAAAGTAACAACAGAAAGTGCAGTATTGTAAATATATCAACCAGTAACACAGTCCTTTATTATCAAGTATTAGGTACTGTACATAATTGTATGTGCTATACTTTTTTTTTGAGACGGAGTCTTGCTCTGTCACCCAGGCGGGAGTGCGGTGGCACGATCTCAGCTCACTGCAAGCTCTGCCTCCCAGGTTCCCGTCATTCTCCTGCCTCAGCCTCCTGAGTAGCTGGGACTACAGGTGCCCGCCACCACACCCAGCTAATTTTTTGTATTTTTAGTAGAGACGGGGTTTCACCGTGTTAGCCAGGATGGTCTCAATCTCCTGACCTTGTGATCTGCCCGCCTCAGCCTCCCAAAGTGTTGGGATTATAGGCGTGAGCCACCGCGCCCGGCCATGTGCTATACTTTCAGACGACTGGCAGTGCAGAAGATTTGTGTACACCATCACCACCACAAACACATGAGTAAGGTACAGCACTAAGACTTCATGACAGCTATGATATCACTAAGCAATAGGAATTTGTCAGTTCCATTATAATCTCATGGGACACATTCTTCAAAATATCTTAATATCTCTAAGAGTTAGGTAAACAGGTAATATTGCACAGAAGATGAATAAATTGGTAGTCTTATTCCCTACCCCCACAACCTGAAACAATTTAAATGAAACGTATTATAGCAGTGTTTCTCAAACTGTAACATGTTTCAGGATCACCGAAGGGCTTGTTAAAATTAACTACTGCAATTAGGTGGATCCTGAGAAGTCTGCATTTCTAACCAGTTCCAATGTGAGGCTGATACTATACTAGCAGGGGACCACACTTTGAGAACCACTGATAAAGACAACTTACAGATAAAATCAATGTGCAATATGCACACTGATTGTGTAATGCACAATATGAATGAATTCTGTGAAGCCAAAACAACATGGTCTATCTAATACCTTGCTTAGTTAAAATCTCAAATATCTAGGATCTGATGGCTGATAAATTACACACCACAATGTTTCCCTTTTCCAACCATCTAGAAACTGCAAATTTGAAGTTGTCTATTTATTATACATAGGAGCATATGCATGTATTAGAAATTAAATGATCAGAAAAGACCGAAATATTTATAGACACTGAAAAGCCTAATCAAAAAGGTAATCTGGATGGATGGCAAATGACCCTCCCACATGGAAGTGAACTGAGAGTACCTGAGACAAAGTCAAGATTTTTCTTTTAAAAAAACTTCTGAGATCACTACACCAAATAAATAAATGAGAAATGTAAACATTCCTATATCATATAATATTAGAAGGAAGCTCTTAGAAAAGTTTTTTAAATTGTTATTATCAAATACCGAACAAAATTAAGGAAAAAATTCAATTGTGTTCCCATGAAATAACATATTTGACACAATGTAACTTGTGAAGAAATCCTCCAGGATTAATCAGTGCAAAATGAATCTGCTACAAATTAAACAGTCTGCTACAAAAAGAATTACCGTGTATAAACTAATTTCTGTACATCAGGGTAATGTGTCCAGATCATCTAACACGGTTCTAAGACACAAAGACTTTTAAAAAGATGGTAAGATACAAGTACTGGGGGCAGGGGGAATGGAAGAATTCCGATTTCCAGTAAAAGGAATCAATATTCCTTGGTGAAATGGCTGATTTCATGGCTGGGGCAGAGAAAAGCACAAGAAGAGACTAGAACATTTTGCGCTACTAGAAAGTTAAGCCTTCTGACCAGGTGTGGTGGTCCATGCCTATAATCCCAGCACTTTGGGAGACCAAGGTGGGAGGACTGCTTGAGGCCAGGAGTTTAAGACTAGCTTGGGCAACACAGCAAGACTCTGTCTCTATTGGAGAAAAAAAAAAAAGGCGAAAACTAGCTGGGTGTGGTGGCACATACCTGGCCTGTAGTCCTAGCTACTCCGGAGGCTAAGGCAGGGGGATCACTTGAGCCCAGGAAATCCAGGTTGCAGTGAGCTATGATCATACCACTGCGCACTCCAGCCTGAGTGACACAGCAGGACCCTGACTCAAAAAGAAAAAAAAAAAGTTAAGCCCTCACAAAATGATGGAGACATGTCAAAAGGACCAGGAACCTCCTTGAAGAGGCTTCATGGGGCCAAACCTGGGATAATTAGAGCACCAAAATAAATAATGATGATAATAGATGAAATCCATAGAAGAATCTGTAAGTCCATCTGATATAAGAGGGGAAAAAAAATCCGCGAGTCCATTCTGATATACATAAAACATTAAATAAATACATAACAAGGGAAAGTTCTTCCTTACCAAAAACCACTAATGTAAATACAGAAGAAATGATGGAAACAGAAAATCACCATGACAAAATCATCAATAAAAGTTAAAGTCTGGGGCCAGGCAGTGGCTCACGCTTGTAATCCCAACACCTTGGGAGGCCAACACAGGATGGCTTGAGTCCAGGAGTTCGAGACTAGCCTGGACAACATGATGAAACCTCGCCTCTACAAACAATATGAAAAATTAGCCAGGCATGGTGGTGTGCACCTGCAGTCCCAGCTACTTAACAGGCTGAGGTAGGAGGATCACCTGAGCCCAGGAGATTGAGGCTTGCAGTGACTCATGATCGTGCCACTGCAAAAAAAAAAAAGAAAAAAAAAACAGCAAGGAAGTTAAAAATTGGTAGAGTATGGTGAGAAATGTTAATTACCTGGTCCCAAAGTACTTATTTTTAAGTACCTTCCCATAGGATACTTTTTTTTTTCCTTTTCTTAACCTAGAATCTGAATCAACACTACTTATGAATCACAAAGGAAAAAAAGCAACTAGAGTGGACAAACCTGATACCACCTTAACGAAAGGAACTGAAAATTAGTATCACTGATAACTGGACAAATCAGCATCATGTGCCTCTAAATAAGATTCATAAAATCATTTTTGCAGTATTCTTAATCAAAAATGCTTAAAATTAATTGAATCATAGGAAAACATACAAACACAAATTGTGCAATATTCCACAAAATTACTGACCAGTACTCTTCCAAAGTATAACAGTCACAAAAGGCAAAGAAAGACTGGAATTGTTTCAGGTTAAAGAAAACTAAGAAAACATGATAACTAAAATACAACACGTGAATAATTTCATATTGTGATCCTGGACCAGAGAAAGGCCATTGGTGAGAAAATGGGTGAAATCTGAATAAAGTCTGTAGACTATCAGTATTACATGAATGTTAATCTCCTGATTTTGATAATTTTTCTGTCACTGCATAAGATGTTAAATTTTGGGAACTTGAATGAAGGGCATATGAGAATTTACCCTTTATACTATTTTTGCCACCGTTTTCCTGAGTCTAAAAAAAAAGGTGAAACCACCAATCAAAACCAAACTGGCAAGTCAGGATACAGTCTCATTTTTCTATAATGTCAAATTAATGTATGTATCTGTGAAGAAGCTAGTCTCGTCTCCTGTTAACCCAGACTTTCATGGTAATAACAAGAAAAACAACATGTTTTAGAGTAGATATTGAGGTTAACGAACGTAAACTATTATTGCTTCCTGCTTTAAAAAAAAATGAAGGAATAAAGATAAGTCGATAACAATCATGAATAATCTTATATAATTCCTGCCAAAATTTTTACAACAGTAATTCTCAACTGGGAACAGTACTACCCCTCAATAAGTGTTGGAGTTGTTTTTTGAATCAGTAAGTATATACAATTGTGAAACAATGACCTCACAATGAGGGAGAGGAACCAAGAAAGTTAGGACTGTCACTCAATGGGTTGTCCTACTGACACATACTCCCTACAGGATCATGAAGAATGTGACAATAGGTAGTCCATTTATTACTGCTATAAAATAGTCTGAGAGGCCCATATCTGCAGAACCTCCTGCTCAGTAAGGTTAAAGAGCTTGTTTTAAGTCACACATCCATTTAGGCAATTGAGCTGCGATTAAAACTGAGATCTCCTGTGCTCCTTAAAGTATAAGAGGGGAAATAAAGGGAAATAACACTTACCTAAATATAGCCATTAAGAAACATTCTCAACAGTGATGACTGGGTAGCACACAGACAAAGATGTTCACTGCAGCATTTTTCATACTTACAAAAAAATTGGGAACAACCTAAACGTCCAGTAAATTACAACACATCTCACCATTTTGGTAGAAGAGTTAGAATAATAAATGACTCTAAATGCTAATTCTCTTGTCAATAAACACTAAGTTATAAAAAGGATTCTTCTTTCAAGTAAAGTTATGTCAGTATATCTGTACTACTAAATTTTGGAAGAACAACTGCTGATTCAAGATGCCTGTGTACTTTATTTTGATAAATACTGTCAAACTGCTCTCCAAAAAGGCCACAAAAATGTATACTCCCAACAACAGTATGAGAGTAACTTTCCCCCATATTCAAAACTTACGTATTATCAACCTTTTTCATGTTTGTGAAAAATAATTTTTTAACCTTACTCATTGTTTTCAGAACAAGTAAAAAAGGGAGGAGAGAAAGAGGAGGGCGGTACATATGAAACAGTACCACAGATCTCTCCAGCCACAGGTCAAGCCTAATACGGGGCAAGAGGAGAAATAGACTTTTCATAACTAAAAACATATTGGGAAAGCTATGAGATTAATCCAAGGTGATGTTAAAAATCAATTAAGGAAAATGCAAAAGACAGTGACTGGGAAAAAAATGAAACTTTCATGAGTTCAGTACTCACTGAGGTCAGTCTATTGAATAAGGCTAACCTCACGACATCCTTCGATATTACCTTTTGCTTTCATTTTTAAATTATTTTTTATGTAAAGAGTAAGAGCAAGGGACAGGGCTTTTTCCCCAAATGAATAGAAAGTTGCTGCAATATAAATTACCAAATAATCCATCTTCTCCCCCACCAATCTGAAATGCTGCCTTCGATATACATTAAATACCTACATATACTAGGATCTCATTCTGTCACCCAGGCTAGAGTGCAGTGATCACAGCTCACTGAAGCCTCAAACACCACGGTTAATTTTTTTTTTTTTTTTTTGTAGAGACAGGGGGTCTCTTCATGTTGCCCAGGCTGGTCTCAAACTCCTGGGCCCAAGCCATCTTCCCACCTCAGATGATCCCAAAAATAAAGTCTGGGATTTTATTCTTTTTCTCCAAAAAGTTGGCGACTTCTCTCCCCTTTTGCTCATAACATGCAGTATGAATATAACAGGAAGGATAGCAGCTTATTTAAAATCAGGAACACCTGGGTTAGCATCCTGACACAGCCCCCCGCCCCCCCCACCGAATCCCACCATGCCCAGTCCTCTGTGGAGTGCATGACCATGGACAATTACTTAAAAGTTCTAATCCTCCATTTTTTCATCTATAAACAAAGTTTTTGAAAATCTATAGTTTCTTTTTTTTCTATTTATTTCCCTTTATCTCTTCCTTTATGCTTAAAAATATGGGTAATCAAATTTCAGGTGGATATATCTTTTGATTCAGCAATTTCACTTTTGGGAAATTATCCTGCAGAAATATTGGCATACATATGAAATGATACATGTACAAACTTATTCACTGTAGTATTATCTGTAATAGTGGACCTGGAAACAACCTAAATGTCCACCAATATGGGACTAGTTTCAAAAACAATAGCATATTCATCACAATGGAATAAACAATACTATTATGAAAAAAATGAGAAAGTTCTCAGTATGCTAATATTAAAAGACCTCTAAGATCTACTGTGAAATTAAAAAACAAAGTATGTATACTACGCTTTTCTCTGTAAAATGTGAGAGAATATCACTATATATTTGTATTTGTTTCTAAGTGTATGTGTGTGTAAGACATTCTGGAAATATTTTTAAGAATAAGTAAAAATATTTCATTTTTACCATTTCAAGCATGTAAAAAGGAGAAAAAGACTGACTATCTGGATTAAAACAAAAGACTCAGAAAAAAACAAACTACTAACAAAGTTAACCAGAAAATCAATGATTTGAATGAGTTCCTATGTATCAAATGTTCATTCAAAATTAAGGTTTTTGTTCACATTATATGAAACTAAATATTTCTTTCAATGGACCAAGGCAGAAAAAAATTTTGTTTTACTATACTGTTTCTTCTTTACTGATACTTGTCTTTCTCAAATTCTCCATACTACACATACTCCTTAGTTTGGCAGTATTCAAATTCACTTTTTAAAAATTAGATCAGATGACAAGGTTATCTATATTGTCTACATAATTTTATAATTCATATATAGCACATATTTTAGACACAGTAAACAACAACAAGATGGAAAATAAGAGTGGAAAAGAAAGTAACTTGAAGTTACACTTTGTAAGACTGAATGCAAACTAAATATTTTTCTATTATGTTTATAGACAACAGGAAACCACTGAAAGCTTTGATAAGAATGGAGGACGATATTAAGAAATTAATGTTCTTGAAGAATGAATGTGATCTCAAAAAGCAGAAACAACCCCAAAGTCCATCAACTGATGAATAAAATGTGGTACCCTCCATACAACTGAATACTATTCAGTCCTAAAAAGAATGAAGTTCTCATGCATGCTACAACACAGAAGAACACTGAAAACATCGTGTTACGTGAAAGAAGCCAAACACAAAAGGCCATGTACTGTATGACTCCATTTATAAGAAATGTCTAAAATAGGCAAATCCATAGAGATAGGAAGTAGATTAGTGGTTGCCAGGAGACTGCGCAAAGAGGAAATGGGAAGTGACTCCTTAATGAGCATCAGGGTTCTTTTGAGGTAATGAAAATGTTCTGGATTAATAGTGATAATTACTGCACAACTGTGTGAATACAATGAAAACGACCGAATATTTATTTATTTATTTATTTGAGACGGAGTTTTGCTCCTGTTGCCCAGGCTGGAGTGCAAATGGCACCATCTCGGCTCACCGCAACCTCCACCTCCCAGGTTCCAGCGATTCTCCTGCCTCGGCCTCCCAAATAGCTGGGACTACAGGCGCACACCACCATGCTCGGCTAATTTTTGTATTTTTAGTAGAGACGGGGTTTCACCATATTGGCCAGGCTGGTCTCGAACCCTTGACCTCAGGTGATCCGCTCACCTCAGCCTCCCAAACTGGGATTACAGGCATGAGCCATTGCGCCTGGCCTGAACTGAGTATTTAATAGCGTGAATTTTCTGGTATGCAAATTATGCCGGCCTGAATTGAGTATTTAATAGAGTGAATTTTCTGGTATGCAAATTATACCTCAATAACTAAAAAAGCTGCAGGATATGCAAAGAGATCGCAGATAGTTAAAATAGAAAGCAACTACACTGGTTTAGCAATGAGTACATAAAAGCCATTGAAGTTTCTATTGTTAACCCTAATCCAGGGAAGCACCATTCAGGTTACTGTGCTCCAGAGTACTCCACTCACAGAGACCCTATTGGAGGATACAGCCCGAGAAAAAGAATACATAAATTTAAACAAAGAGGTAAAAGAATTGTCAATAATAATGTATGTCTGAATGTGAACAGGAAGGAATTATGACAAAAAAGAAATCTATTTTCTCTTTGATTTTAAAAAGCAACATTCCCAAAGAGGAAATTCAATAAAGTTTACCATTGGTTATCTCTGGACTGAGGAAGTGAGGACAATTTGTTGTCTTTTACCCAGACTTTTCCAACTCTTCAACAATGACATTACTTGTATAATGAAAATGTATAAAAATGTACTTACCTTTATAAAAATAAAAAACTTTACATCTCAACCATAGAAACCATTCTGAAACACTAAAGCCCTAACCTATGAGAGTCAAACAGTTGTTAAAGACAATTTCTTGTGGAGTCCACATGCTATTGTCTTTTCCTAAAAAGTTCATAATCTACATCTACACTGTCCACTAAGGTAGTCACTAACTAATGAGCACTTACTTGAAATGTGACTAAGTCCAAATTCAGATGTCTTGTAAGTATAAAATATACACTGATTTCAAAGATTTAGTATTAAAATAAGAATTTTAAATATCAAAGTCTTCATGGTTTTCATATTGATTACATGTTAAAATAACATTTGGGATATATTGTGTTAAATAAAATATATTATTAAAATTAATGTTGGCTGGTTCTTTTTTTGCTTTATTAACATAGCTACCAGAAAATTTAAATTTAACTATCTCGCTTGCATTCCATTGGACAATGCTGTCTCAGAAGAAGCTAAGTGGGCTTTTTAAGGACTTCATTTGAGTCTTCCCTTGGGGTTCCCTTTCTCTTACGTTCTAAGAAGCAACATTCTTCCCAGAGCATTTCCTGCACCTGAAAACACTATACACACCAAGGAGCATGAAACAAGTGATAA
Organism: Homo sapiens; assembly: GCF_000001405.40. Taxonomy (NCBI): domain Eukaryota; kingdom Metazoa; phylum Chordata; class Mammalia; order Primates; family Hominidae; genus Homo; species Homo sapiens. Next base: position 152,514,350 of record NC_000004.12, read on the forward strand.
ATATAAGAACTGACTAGAAGGGAAATCTTTCCTTCATGTTTCCTACAACTCATACTGTAATATGAATTCTCAACAAGAAATTCTGAGATTCTCAGGGGTGGGGAGGTATGTTCTCTAGGGGATGATATAATTTGAATATTTGACACCTCCAAATCTCAGGTTGAAATCTGATCCCCAATGTTGAGGGTGGGGCACAGTGGGAGGTGCCTGGGTCATAGGAGCAGATTCCACATAAACAGCTTGTGCTATCCTCAAGGTAATGAATGAGTTTCCCCTCTGTAAGTTCTCATGAGAACTGATAAAAAGAGCTTGGCACCCCCTCTCCTCTTTCTCTCCTTTCCTGCCTCACCATGTGATACCTGCTCCCCTTCACTCTCTGCCATGAGTGGAAGCTTCCTGAAGCCCTCACCAGAAAGCAGATGTTCTGACATCATGCTTCTTATACAACCTGCAGGAACCATGAACCAAATAAACCTCTTCTCTTCATAAATTACCCAGCCTCGGGTATTTACAGCAACACAAAAAGAGACTAGGACGGGGGTATGTGACAGGTGAAAAGCCTCAGTAACACTATAAGATTATTTAGGAGCTGAGAATGTCAAGTCAAAAATACCTCTGTTTACGGTCCTGAAAAGACAATAAGTAGAAATATGGATGAGGGAGCTACACAAGCACGTATGGTTTAAGAGAGCCAACTCTGGGTATGCTGGAGAAAAGTTATCTTAGGCAAAACAGAGGTCAAGAACATCTAGGAAACATACTTAGAAAGCTTCAAGAAGAATCACTTTACCCCCACACTGAAGGAATAAACCTAATGCCTAATAAAGAAACTAGGATTTCTCTAAGAACAAAGAAGAAAATATAAAAATTAAAAATAGCCTGTCTCCATCTCCTCTTTTTTCCTCACTGTTTAAAATACTAAAAAATGCAAACTAATTTGTAGTAATAAAAAAGCAGATCATTGATTGCCTGAAGCGAGGGTGCAGGGAAGGATTTAACTGTGAAGGGGCATGAGGAATCTTTTGAGGGTGACAGAAATGTCTTGTAGTTTACTGTATATAAATTATATCTCAATAAAATCAACTTAAAATGGGGGGAAAAAAGCAACAATGCTTTACAAATCACCATTTGCCCATGGCAGTCACAACATAGCTGTCATTCCCTGTACACTTGCAAATTGGGTAATGGCAGTTTATATCACCATAATTATTACTAAATTCTGTACATTTAGTAGTACAATAAGAAGTCACGCTTACTTCTTAATTTTAAATGTCCTGTAAAATACTATGATTCAGCATTGAAACAAAAAAGTTGTTTACAAAAAAGAACACAAACACAACAGTAGAAAATAAATTTGACATTTCTGAAGCAGATATTGTGGCTGGAAGAATAACCACAACTCTCTTTTTTTTTTTTTTTTGCAAGGCACTGTCCAAGCAATAATGTGTTGTATCATGTTTTAATTCAACATTTTTTCTTCCTTAGTCATACATAAAGTAAGAATTTGTCTTATATTTTAATCCAGCATTTTTCTTCCTTAGTCATACACAACATAATAACTTGGCCACATGGCAAGAACATGGTGGCGGGGGTGGGCCTCTAAGGAGCTCAAAGTGGTCCCTGGCTGACAGCCAGCAAGCAAACAGGGACATCAGATCTACAAGAACAAGGAATTGAACTCTTCCCACAACCGGTGAGCCTGGAGGAGAACCCAGAGCCTCAGAAGAGATAGGAGCCCCGGCTGATTCCTTAATTTCAGCCTAGTGAGAACCTGAGGAAAGACCCAGCTAAACCATACCCAAATTCCTGACCAATAGAAACTGTAAGATAAGCTGCTAAATTTGTGTTAATTTGCTGTAGAGCAGGGGTCCACAACTGGTACTGGTCCGTGGCCTGTTAGAAACCCGGCCGCACAGCAGGAGGTGAGCTGCAGGTGGAGTATTATCGCCTGAGCTCCGCCTCCTGTCAGATCAGCTGTGGCATTAGAGTCTCATAGGAGCACAAACACTATTGTGAACTGTGCATGCAAGGCATCTAGGTTAGGTGCTCCTTAAGAGAACCTAATGCCTGATGATTCATCCCAAACCATTCCCCACTGCCTCTCCTTCCCCGCATCCACGGAAAAACTGTCTTCCACAAAAATGGTCCCTGGTGCCAAAAAGGCTGGGGACTGCTTCTGTAGAGCGATGGAAAACTAATACCATACAGATGACCATTTAGATTTGAGGAAACATGGTTTATATTATTTCTCTTAAAGGCTGCTACTCTTTATCATCAAAACAATTTCTAAAACTTCACATTATTATAAGTGATGTAATTCAATTTCACAAGTCAGCAAGATAAGCGGTAATACTAATCTCAACACTGCACAGTTTTTAATTTTTAATTTTTTAAAGAAAGTGTAACTTCTAAGAATTTATTTCTTCCACCAAGTAGGCACACAAACAATACTGTAAACTTAGTATGGTTGTTTCCGCTTTTTTTGTTTGTTTTTGAGACAGGGTCTTATTTTGTCACCCAGGCTGGACTGCAGTAGCACCATCTTGGCTCACTGCAGCCTCGACCTCCTGGGTTCAAGCAATCCTCCTGCCTCAGCCTCCCAAGTAGCTGGGACTACAGGCAAGTGCCACTACACCCAGCTAATTTTTGTATGTTCAGTAGAGATGGTTTCGCCATGTTGTCCAGCTGGTCTCGAACTCCTGAGCTCAAGCGATCCACTCGCCTCAGCCTCCCAAAGTGCTAGGATTATACGCATGAGCTACCGTGCCAGGCTGTTTCTGCCTTTCTAAACCAATGACATATCAAAACAGAAGCCCAATCTTGGTCTTTATCCATTTCTAAGGAAGTGTAAATAAAGTTGGAGGGGTGGTTTTTTTAAAAAAGTTAATTTTGAGATCTAGCATGGCCACATTATTGGAGGCAATCATCCAGTTTCTAAGAACTTCGGTAAACTCGACTATTTAAAAAAAGGAAACACAGAAATCTGAATAAAGTCTACTATCTAATTAATAGTATAAATAAACAAATGGAATAATAATGCATGCTCTGCCAACCTCATATATAATTAAATGCCAATGAAAATAGCCAGTACTTCTATGGCTCTTATTGTGTGCCAGGCACTGTTCTATAAATAATATATAAGAAATAAATTTACAGATGACACAGACAGTATAGAATAAAGATTAAGGTCCCAGGCTCTAGAGCCAGACTGCCTGGAAACAATCCCAGCTCCACTATTAACTAAAGGTGGGACCTTGACCATGTTTAACTTCTCTATGCCAAATTTTCAGCTATAAAATAGGGATATTAACAACACTTACCTCATAGAGCTATCGTGAGGACTGGATGAGGTAATACACATGAAGGACACAGAACAGTGCCTGTCACATAATAAACACTCAAATACCGATATCGATATTATTTGTATAGTGGTGCCATATTAACATTCACTTCTAAGAAAGGAAACCTGTAGTAGATTATGTCAGAGGATACTAATGAGCCTTAGACTTAAAGTCTGAAAATCTTGAAGTACTTATCTGATTCTTTCTACCCCAACCCCTAAATTCTATTTACCAGAATTTAGTTCCACTTAGGCATTTTTAATCTTTTATAGAACATCATTCAGCACTCAATACTTATTTTTTTCTTTTTTTCTTCAAGACAAAGTCTCGCTGTGTCGCCCAGGCTGGAGTGCAATGGTGCAATCTCAGCTCAATGCAACCTCCACCACCCGGGTTCAAGCAATTCTCCTGCCTCAGCCTCCAGAGTAGCTGGGATTACAGGCACGCACCACCACACCCAGCTAATTTTTCTATTTTTAGTAGAGACAGGGTTTCACCATGCCAGCCAGGCTGGTCTGGAACTCCTGGCCTCAAGTGATCCACCCGCCTTGGACTCCCAATGTGCTGGGATTACAGCCATGAGCCACTGCACCCAGCCTACTATTTTATTTATTTATATATTTGAAACAGGGTCTTGCTCTCTCACCCAGGCTAAAGTATAGTGGCAGGATCTTGGCTCACTACAGTCTTGAACTACTACGCTCAAAACCATCCTCCCACCTCAGCCTCCCAAGTAACTAGGACTACAGGTGCACACCACCACACCCAGCTAATTTATTTTATTTTTGTAGAGACAAGGTTTTGCCATGATGCCCAGGCTGGTCTCCAACTCCCGGCCTAAAGCAATCCTTTTGCCTCAGCCTCTCGAGTAACTGGGATTATAGGCATAAGCCATCACGCTCAGCTTCAGCACTCTATACTTAGTATTTGCATGTAACTTTTGATAAAATTTTATAAAGGCATATAATTAAAATTTCTGAAAAGGGCAAAGTTCAAATGTATTTAACTATAGTTACAAATACAGTATTTTAAATGGAACCAAGAGAAAATCTTTCACAAAACATTTTTAAAGGCCAACATCTAAGTTTAGCTCTTTTTAAGGTAACAGAATTACAAAAATTATTTTAAATATCCTAATGAAAAAACAAAAATACAGATATAAAAACTATGTTCTCACAGTATTAATTAAATATGAAATATCTATAAATAAACTCACTGGGTAGGGAATAGTTCTACAAAGTATGTAAAAGAAGAAAAAATAAATTTTTTTTAAATTACAAACACCAAATCAGCAAACAAAAATAGTTTAAGAAATTACATAAGGGAAGCCAGGCGTGGTGGCTCATGCCTGTAATCCCAGCATTTTGAGAGGTGAAGGTGGGTGGATCACGAGGTCAGGAGATCGAGACCATCCTGGCTAACACGGTGAAACCCCGTCTCTACTAAAAATACAAAAAATTAGCAGGGCGTAGCGGTGGGCGCCTGTAGTCCCAGCTACTCAGGAGGCTGAGGGAGGAGAATGGCGTGAATCCGGGAGGCAGAGCTTGCAGTGAGCCAAGATCACACCACTGCACTCCAGCCTGGGCTACAGAGTGAGACTCTGTCTCAAAAATAAATAAATAAATAAATAAAGAAAGAAAGAAAGAATAATCAGATACCCACTGACTTAAGCAATTTATACCCAAGAGACTAACAAATGTTGATTCTCAGATTTTCTGCTAAACCATAGGTTTTCAAATCCTAAATAATGTATTTGAGGCTCATCCTGAAATAATCTCCTTCAAAAGATTTAACTCTCACTCAACAACACATTTCACATATAAAATCAGTTTTCTCCATAATCTTAGACAGATTTTGCCTAGATAAATTTATTCTACTGCTAACATATCTGGGACACCTGTCCTGATGATGATTCCAAGAGCAAGACTAAAAAATGAGGGTTAATGCAAATCAATTCAAATGACGGACTTCAATTTCACAATTATTTTGTATAATGACATAAAACTGGGAATTGCTTCTTCACGAGTCTGTTAATCTGCCTTCCAATAGGATGATTTTCTATCATTTTCCCCTCCTATGTCAGTACAACTTTCCATTTTCAATAAAAACTTAAGAGACAGCATGCATGATTAAAAGCATAGACCATGGAGTATGACAGATCTAGATTTGAATCCCAGTTCTGCAAGTCAAAATTCCGATGTGTTCTTGGAAATTTCTCTGAATTTGTTTCCTTTGCCATAAAACATCAGTAGCTATTTCATATGAACTGCTGTGAGGACTAAGTTAAATAACGGTTGTAAAAATCCTTAGGACAGTTCCTGACATACAGTAAACATTCAATACATGGTAATAATAATGATCATGAATTACAAAATCTACATTCTTATCTTCTAGATTCATACCCCTCTCCTTCCTTGCCAATTCTTTAAAAATAACTGGGGGTAAAAAATCAATCATTACCGGCCGGGCGCGGTGGCTCACGCCTGTAATCCCAGCACTTTGGGAGGCCGAGGCGGGTGGATCATGAGGTCAGGAGATCGAGACCATCCTGGCTAACAAGGTGAAACCCCGTCTCTACTAAAAATACAAAAAATTAGCCGGGCGCGGTGGCGGGCGCCTGTAGTCCCAGCTACTGGGGAGGCTGAGGCAGGAGAATGGCGTGAACCCGGGAAGCGGAGCTTGCAGTGAGCCGAGATTGCGCCACTGCAGTCCGCAGTCCGGCCTGGGCGACAGAGCGAGACTCCGTCTCAAAAAAAAAAAAAAAAAAAATCAATCATTACCAAAAGCAAAAGAGATCTAGTAGGTCACTTCTTCACCTCCAGTTGTCCTCTTTCTTTCCTACACCTCAATAGCCTCAATCATTACCCATACTTAAGAGTACATACTCACTTAATTTGGGCCCAAATGTGCAAAGGGGACCAGTCCTTATTTAACACTGTTACTTAATGATGGCTCCTCCATGATGTAAAAATGATACTACATATTCATCTTTCCAACAAACTCAACACCAGAACGGACCTATGTTGTGAAAAAGGAATCAGCCAAAAGCACTATTCAGGAAGTATCCATTGGATCAAAGTTTCACTACTGAGTCAAAAATAGGAAGGTCGACTTTAAGAATAAGATGTTCCAAAATATCTAAGCTACTTTACTTCTAGGATATGCTTTCTAGAAATGCAGAAGAAAAAAGTTCACATGAAAATTTTATCAGCTCCTGGGATTTGCTTCTAATTCATTCAACAAATATTTGCTGAACACCTATGGGCAAGCACAACACTAAGCACTTGGAAACAAAGGTGACAAGATAATGTGTGGTCTCCCCTCCTGCCAACCCCCATAGAACTTATTTAAAAGCTTTCCAGTTTTTTGTCTCTCCCATTCATTTGTTAACATACTATATGTCTACAATGTGGCAGGAATGTTAGGTACTTGGGGGAGCAGGTGTTGACTAAGACAAGACTCTTGCCCTCAAAGAACTGAGAGATCAGTAGAAAAGAAAAATACAAATAAGGATGTTAAGTGCTATAAAAGCCACAGAGATACTGTGGGTAACCAGTGGAAAAAAATAACTAATTCTAGTTATATTAATCAGGACACACTTCCTAGGAGATCAATATTTAAGTAGGGTCTGAAGAGACAAATGTTTCCCAGATGAAAAGAAAAGAATATTCCAAGCAGAGGAAACAGCAAGGTGTAGAGACAAATATACATGAAAGAATATACATGTACACACACATACAAATAGACATTAAAGTACATACATGCTGTATATACATGGACACACAACCAGTGTTTGGATACAAGTGAAACAAGTCACCTGAACCACAACATACAGAAAATGATATGACTTCCCAATTCTTCCAAAGATAATACACAACCCTGTAAATAGCAGAAAAGTCAGTACATTCAAATTCCATCCTTAGGGTATTAAGGCTGAATTCTCTCCCAGAAATAAGGGGACGGTGGAAGGAGCTCTGAAGGGTAGATTGGATCTGGACTAGAAGGGATCCCAAAGGGATCCCAGCAAAGAAGAGTCAATTCAAGTGGGAATACAGAGAAAGAACAGAAGCAAGGCAATTAAGAGGCTCCTGAAATGGACAAGGAATGGTAAGGGTCCAATTTTTTTTTTTTTTTTTTTTTTTTTTTGAGACTGAGTCTCGCCCTGTCACCCAGGCTGGAGTGCAATGGCGCGATCTCAGCTCACTGCAACCTCCGTCTCCCTGGTTCAAGCGATTCTCCCTACCTCAGCCTCCCCAGTAGCTGAAATTACAGGTGCACGCCACCATGCCCAGCTAATTTTCTGTATTTTTAGTAAGGGTCCAATTTTAAACAGTAAACAGGAAAAGTGTACACAGAAAAACAAGATCCTAAGTTAAAGAGCCCTTGACTTGGTGAGTAATAAAACATATGGAAAGAGAGAGAGCTCCAAGGTTTCCCCCAATAGATCATTCCATTTACCTTGATACTTGTTTTTTAAGTGTACGTTTGACTTTATGAATACACACTACGGCACTCATATCTCATAAGCCCTCTATTCATAATACACTTTTACATGAATAGCTCGTCATAAAAAAATTAAATTAGTAAAATTCATCTGGAACCTTTTCTCAGTTTCTGAAAAAAGTGTAAGGACTTTTAGATTAATTTTGGAGTACTTTCCCTGTAACCTTAAAAAGAAATGAAACCTACTAACCTTCTTACATGTCTGTCTTTTAAAATGAATGTTAAATGAAGCCTATCCATGTCTGTGACTCATCTTTATCAATAATCAGCATGTATACAGAATCTAACTGGCAAAGTACCTTATACAAAGGAACTAAGCTGGGTTTCCCAATGTTGCTTGGCAGGGCTGGCATTCTGGACCAGGTAATTTTTTTGTTGTGGATGCTGTCCTATACCTTGTTTATACCTAACCTCTACCCACGAGATACCAGTAGCACCCTTCCCTCTCCCCACTCCCCCAAATGACCATCAGAAACATCACCAAATAGTGCCAAATGTCCCCTGGGGACCCTGTTATAGATTGTTATATACTAAGCACTGTTTCGAGCTTCTCATTTACTTCGTTTAATACTAACAAAGAAGTAACCATGAGGTGGGTAGATATCATTTTCCCCTCCTTACAGATAAAGAAACCGAGGGAGGTTAAACAACTTGCCAAAGGTCATACAACCAGTAAGTGTGGTAGCCTGTACTTGAACCCAAACAATGATGGCTCAAGTTCCTGCTCCTAATCACTGTTGAGCTCTACCACTAATGACCCAGCATTTATCATCTGACACTTGAAAAGTAGTATTTTGAATCTTATCTAGCACTAAAAACTAAAACTACCACCAAGTGACAATTGAAAGTTCACAAACTCAATTCAAGATAAATTAACAAGCATTTTTTAAGCACTGATTATATGCACAGCAGTTTCAGCAACTAGAGTGGTTCAAAGAAGAAACTAACATTTATTAAGGATCTGGCTCCAGGACCCCTTTCACACATTATCTCTTTGAGGTCTCACAACATCCCTGGGTGGTATTATCTTTTTTTCAAGAGAGTAAGCTCAAGGTCAAAATAGAAAAGTGGTCCCTGACCTAAAAACTTTCACAATTTAATTGGAGAGACCAAAAAAAACACATATTTTAAAGAAAATAAGCAAATTAAATGTATCAGTTAACAATAAATAAAGGGTAGAAAACACAAAATATGAGAAAGAAAAGTATACAGTTAGACTAGTCAGAAAATAAATCTAAAAAGATGCTTCTAGTATCCCCTCCTCTTAAGAAAATGGCATAGAAGAGCAAAAGAGGAGCAGCTGGGGAGGAGCAACATCTCTCTGAATGATGTGAAATACAAGTTTTGGGGACTGAAAGTTTTGAGATAGCCAATTTAAGTAGTAAGTCAAGGAAATGATGAAAACTATCATTTAAGGCTGCCTTAAAATTAGGATCAAGCTGAAGCTGGAGACAATAAAGCTAGTCTATGATACGCTTTTAGGGTGCCCCTACCTCCAAACACTCTCAAGCACAGCAACAGGAACAATCAAAAAGTATGTAAAGGTTAAGACTGCTAGGGTTGGTTAATGAAAGCTTAGACAAAGTCCAACAACCAAATTTCCTGAGTGACACATCATCTATTTTGTTTTGTGTATTTTGTCTCTCCTAACCAGAAAGTAAGTTTCAAGAGAGCAGGATTTTTGTTTTGCTTATTTAGATCAATTCCTGGCATAGTAGGTGTTCAGTAAATCTGAACTGAATCTGCTGCTGAATAAAGGCAGTATTCCAAATAGTAACACGTTCAGGAGCAAAGATCACCAATGTCTCAGCATTCAGAAAACCAGCACCCTCACAGAAATAACAATAACTTAATACTATAATATTTCTTATTATTGCAGCAGCTAACATTTACTGGATGCTAACTTAGGCAGACACTGTGCTAAAGGCTTACATGCATTATCTCACTCAATCCTCTTAATTACTCTATAAGGGAAACAGGTACTATTATTATCATCCCAGTTTTAAAAGAAACACACATGGAATAAATAACTTGCCTGAAATCACAAAGCAGCAGAGCTGGAACCTGGGTCTATCAACTCCAAAGCTTGCCTCTCAGCTACTATGTCACATATAGAATTATAAGCACCCCTCTCAGACAAAGCTAGCGAAATAGAGTCAATGAGGAAAAAACAACAGAACAAAAAAACTCCTCTGTAAGTCAAAAACTCTTTGGCCATCCCCTTCTCCTAGCAGGTATGGTGGAAATTTTCCCACCCTAAAATAACACTGATTATCCCATACAAACTAAACCTTCAATGGTTTAAAGAACCCAAATGTTGAAAAGCTATGAATAAAAACCAATAATCTAATCATCATTTCAAAGGGTGACAGATAACAAGTGGTAACACCTCATGTCCACAACCCAAAGAAATAACAGGGTGTGACCTCTGACTAAGACTGAACTCAAAACTTCCGGAGCCACTCTCCCTGATATCTGCCTCTTCTTTCCTCCCTCCTTTACTGCCTCTCTCCCCACCTCTGTACAACCCCACTCTCTTCTCCCGCTCATTTATTTTAAAAAAAAGGAAATTTTGTTTCCTGTCTAAATGTCTAAATCTGGTAATATAAAAGTTTAGTATTTATCCGCAGGGGGGAAAAATCCACCTGCATAACACTCAGTAGAAAAAGGCTTCCCCACTCACTGTATAAGCATTCTAGTTTATACTATCAAATTCACACAGCAGTCAATTAAGAGACCACCAATCATGCAAAAGAAAACTTACAACCCAAATATTTATTTACACAACCTTCCAGTATTACATACATAATAATCAGGAAGAAATCAAATAAACTAGAGAGAACATGCTCTTCTTCCCATCCAGGAACTCATTATAAAGTCTTTTTTGAAAAACTATGAAATGTAAAGATCCCTAGAAGCATAATCCAAATCGTTACCAATAAAGAAAAGTATTTAAAATGCTGAAATTTTTTAAACTAGAATATTCATTAATCATCTAACTAGAGAGCCACTAGCAGATAAACCCATCTAATTTCTACATTTACACCAAAATCTAAAGCAAACTTTCCTTAAAAGGAGAAGTCACAGCTAGCAAGATAATCAGTGCTAAAGAATATATTTTTTAAACTTTTATTTTAGGTTTCGGGGTACATGTAAAGGTTTCATAGGTAAACACATGTCACGAGGGTGTGCTGTACTTATTATTTCAACAACCAGGTATTAAACCCAGTACCCAATAGTTATCTTTTCTGCTCTTCTCCCTCCTCCAACCCTCCCCCTCAAGTAGACCCCAGTGTCTATTCATTTTGTTCATAAGTTCTTACCATTTAGCTCCCACTTATAAGTGAGAACACGCGGTACTTGGTTTTCTGTTCCTGCATTAGTGTGCTACGGATAATAGCCTCCAGCTTCATCCATACTCCCACAAAAGACATGATCTCCTTCTTTTTTATGGCTGCACAGTATCCCATGGTGTGTATGTACCACATTTTCTTTATCCAATCTGTCACTGATGGGCATTTAGATTGATTCCACATCTTTGCTATTGTGATTAGTGCTGTAAGGAACACGCGTGTGCATGTGTCTTTATGGTAGAATGAATTATATTCTTCTGGGTATATACCCATTAGTAATGGGATTGCTGGGTGGAATGGTAGTTCTGCTGTTAGCTCTTTAAGGAATCGCGATACTGATTTCCACAATGGTTGAACTAATTTACACTCCCACCAACAGTATATAAGTGTTCCCTTTTCTCCACAACTTCACTAGCATCTGTTATTTTTTGACTTTTTATAGTAGCCACTCTGAATAGTCTGAGATGGTATCTCATTGTGGTTTTGATTTGCGTTTCTCTAATGAGTAATATTGAGCTTTCTTTGCTTGTTGGCCACATGTAAGTCTTCTTCTGAGAAGTGTCTATTCACGTCCTTTGTCCACTTTTTAATGGGGTCGTTTTTCTCTTGTAAATTTAAGTTCTTATAGACGTTGGACAATAGACCTTTGTCAGATGCATAGTTTGCAAGTATTTTCTTCCAAGAATGTATCTCAGTCTTTTTTTCTAGCTTAGATTTTTTTCATATACCTTAAATATACAGTTCTATTCAATAAACAGCCAATGAAGGAAAGCATACCAAAACTGTTCTCAACATAGAATTTCTTTCCAAATACAAAAACAATCAAGAAGCATTTATTTATTGTATTGGCCAATAAAACACTGATTATGCCCTACTCGAAGAAAAGGTATTTCTGAAAACCAATCTTGTATTTAACAAATATTAAGCACACAAAAAAAGGAATTTTTAAAACCCACATACTAATAATTTCAGGAAAAAACAAAAACTAAAATTAAGTAGTTAAAATAGAATCATGTAAACAAAATTATTTCGATCTTAATTTGAGATGTAAATGACACAGATAAAATTTCCGTTCAACTTCTTAATGATTTTTTAAAGCTTTTTATTTCCAGGGGTTAAAGAGATGGGCAACTAAAAAGGCTGATAACTGAATTAGATCCTGCTATTTCTAAATGGGCAATTTAAACCACAGTCACTATCATAATCACTAACTATTCAAAAACGGATTCTTTTCTGGTCCATGCACTACTGAGATCTTTGAAACTAAATTCAAATTCCAGTTATGTTCAAATCAGTCTTTCTTTTCTATTAAAAAAAAGCCCAACAGTTCTGTCATTTCTTCAGTTTTTAATAAAATGTTAATGAAGTTTTAGATGTTTCTGAAAACACAGAATTACTTCAGTATTATTTGTCAAACTCAAGTGTTGAATTTAAATGTTGGGCTTAATATAAGGCCTGATTTAAATCTTCTATCTACAACACACTTTAAAACAACTTTAACTTAATAAATTAACACTGATGGGTCAAATGCTATATGCCAGGCACTGGATTAAGAGCTTTGCATGCTTTATATTATCTCATTTAATCCTAACAACCACCATGTAAAGGACACGTTTTCCTCCATCAACAGGTGATGCCACCAAAATTAAAAGGATAATAAATAGCTTGTCCAAGGCCATGAAGCCAAGAAATTATTGAATTATGAATTACTGAATGCATATTATGAATGTATTTTATTACGTAAATGAGAAGTAAACTAGCTGCCTGTTGCTGACTCCAGGTAGACCTGTTTTCAACCATTTGGTAATTATAAATTACACTTTTAGTGAAGCAACTCCTTCTCAGACCTAGAGAATGTCATGCAAAGGTATATTACCCCTCATTCACCCCCCTAAAAAGCATGCAATCCTAAAAGGCTGTTAAAAAATACACACACTCTGACCGGGCACTGTGGCCCCAGCCTGTAATCTCAACACTTTGGGAGGCCATTTCAGGAGGACTGCTTGAGTCCTGGAGTTTGAGAACCAGCCTGGGCAATATAGTGAGACCCTGTCTTTACAGAATTTTTTTTTTAAATTTGCAGGGTGTGGCAGTACACACCTATAGTCCCAGCTACTCAGCTACTCAGGAGGCTAAGGTGGGAAGATCACTTGAGCCCAGGGGGTCACGGCTGCAGTGAGCAAGGATCACACCACTGCCCTCCAGCCTGGTGACAACAAGCAACCCTGTCTCTAAAAAAAATAATTTTATACAAACCACACACACTCTCATAAGCATTGACTAGATCAGGAATTTTTGTTAAAAATTTAAAAATTATATACACACACACACACACACACACACACACACACACACATATATATACACACACACATACATTCTTCCAAAAACAAACCAACAATTTGCCTTGAGACTTCACATTTGGAACTGATAATAAACATTGACGGGTTCGTTTAAGATGCTGTGAGATGAAAACGCCAAAGCCAGAGGATGTGATCCTCTCAGAGAAAAGGCTAAATAATATTAAAAATATTTTGTAGTCTTTTAATATTTCCTAAATTCCAGAGCAGTCATGCAGAAATGAACATCTAACACAATACACTAGGTACAGGTACACAGACAGACAGAAACACACAGAGAGAGAGAGGAAAAAAACATGCTATCTCTTTCTTACAGCCAGATTTCCAGTAGCTATCTTCCAGATAGAAAGAAAGGGCAAAGGTGACACAGCATAGCAACAGAAACTGCACAGTATCTGACTGATCCACTAGCTGTCCCTTAGGTCTGATGGGGGAAGAGCAGAAGATACTCAAGCAATAAGGTCTCTTGTGCATTTCTGTTTGTTTCTGATTTTCAACTACGTGCATGGCAGGATAATACAAGACGAACACTGGCTCTCATATTTTCTTCTTATAAGCCTTCTGCTTTACAGAAATCAAGTGTTAACTCAAAAATTGTAAAAGAACACCTCAGAAAAATTTAGTTAAATGTTAAGTTTGTCATTCCAATATCCAGATCAAGTGCTCAAACTGCAGATGCTCCCTCAAATGTTTCACAATTCTTAAGTTGTAATAGGAAGAAATTTTTAAAGATACTTGCATGTAAAAATATAATTACTAGAAGATATATATCCCATAGTGTTCAGAAAATGTCACGTACTTTGAGAAAATACATTCCATTTAAACATACTGTGAAAGGTATCATGAGGAAGTACCAAGGAGGTATCATCAGAAAGCAGCAAAAACATAAAAGTACATTAAGACATAAAACAGGATATTAAGTGATATTAAAAATATTTTGTAAGGTCTTTTAATATTGCCTAAATTCCAGAGCAGTCATGCAGAAATGAACATCTAGCACAATACGCTAGGTATATCTACACATACATACTTTGTGTGTGTGTGTGTGTGTGTACATTTTCCCCCATTATACTTAATGGGGGAAAGTCTAAGAACAGGACAAATTAACAGCAAGAATTCATTATTTAACAGCAACTTTACTCATCTTTTTGTAATGACAATTCAGTTACACTAAAAACATACACATTTTTCCCTGGTCCACTCAAAGTATCAACAAACTGGAATAATTTCTGTTTGGAGTATTTGCAGATAGAAGATGCACACCTTGTGTCTTTTAAATTGCCACTCATCCTTAGGCTTGGGACAATGATAAAATTACTTGAAAAGACAAAAATTAAAAGATTTTTTAAAATAATAAGGAAATAATCCTTTCCAAATAAATAGGGAAAGCAACTTTATAGTGACCTTCTAAAAGATGTACTAACATTGTCAGATTATATACTCTTTTTTTAAAAGGAAGAAGAAAAATTAAAAAGTAAATTGTTAGTTCAATTTAAGTAACAATATGTAGAAATACTACATATAAACTAAAAGCAGGTTTCAAACTAACTAAAAAGTGATCATTATTGCAAGAGTAATCTCCACCCCTGCCATAAACAAGGGAATCCTAAAATAAATAGGATTTATGAAACTAAATATACCATCATCCAATGTTGGTATCTGCTGACATATGAAACAAATATTTTAATATTAACTGTAATGTAAAATTGCACAAAGTGAATTACACTTTCTGAACAACACATGTGAGAAAGATTCACTCTTAAAAATATAGCAATGCTGGCCAGGTGTGGTGGCTCACGCCTGCAATCCCAGCACTGAGGGAGGTCGAGGTAGATGGATTACCTGAGCTCAGGAGTTAAGAGACCAGCCTGGGCAACATGATGCATGGCCTTTGGGGTTACCTGGTGGGTGCTAAAACACACACACATATACCCTCGAGGCTCTCTAATTCCCTATCAATCCAAAAGTTGTTACCCATCTCTATCAAAAATACAAAAAAATTAGTCGGGCATGGTGGCGCATGCCTGTGATCCCAGCCACTCGAGAGGCTGAGGTAGGAGGATGACTTGAGCCCAGGAGGTGGAGGTTGCAGTGAGCTGAGATCACACCACAGCACTCCAGCCTGGGTGACAGAATGAGACCCCGTCACAAAAAAAAAAAAAATACACACACACACACACACACACACACACACACGTGTATATATATACGTGTACATATATATATATACGTATATATATGTATATACATCAAAGCTTTTTAAAGTACACATTTAAATGATTTAAGTGATTTGTTAATATACACTAGTACTTGAAATTAACAAAACAAAAATTGCGATGTGTAATTCTACACACTGAATTAGCCACTGCAAGAGATTAAGACTTTAATAGATAGCAGTATCAAACTTTAATGCTCTTATAATTTGACTCATATTATTCAAACCAACCATAGACACTTCTAATTTTACACACGAAGTAAATGCTTTACATTTATTTTCAGAAGGTTTCAAAAGTATGCCCACAAGCTTCTTTACAGATACTTTTGGCCATGATACAAAGCCAGTATATCACTAAATGCCAACTGTGGTTATCTTTAGATAAGAAATGCAGGTAGTCCCTACTTTTTAGCTGCATCCCTTTAAAGATGGTATCACCCCGACCCTCAATCCATAGTTTTCATCACCATGAAGGCAAAAGTATTTTGTACAGTAGAGTATGTGCTTTATGCAGAATCATTTTAAATGAACTCAGAGAAAAACATCTCATCTAGAAAACAAAGACCACCAAAAATAGCCAGTCCTGGCTTTGTAGTGTAATAAAGCTCATACTGTTTGTTGGTGGATTTGGCAGTTGTCTATACCAGGAGTCCAAAAACTTCGGCCTATGGGCCAATTGGAGCACGGCAACATTCATTCACTTCCTTGTTGTCTACAGCTGCTTTCACACTATAAGAACAGAATTGAAAGTTGTGACAGATCATGTGGCCTGTAAAACCTAAAATATTTACTAACTGGCCCTTTACAAAAATAGTTTGCCAACTCTTTCTCTACACAATGAGATGTCAGAAGCACCAGAAGACTTCTCCAAGAACCATCTCCAAAGTACAATGAAATGAGCCTATGCATGGCCTTTGGGGTCATCTGGTGGGTGCTAAAACACACACACACACACAAACATATACCCTCAAGGCTCTCTAATTCCCTATCAATCCAAAAGTTGCCAAGGCAAAGTACATGAAGTTACCACTCTTCCCACTGTCCTCACTAGTAAATAACATTAACTATAAGTGGCTGCCTTCTAAAATTCATCTGAACATGGCTTCGACTGCACAAAAAATGTTGTGGAAAGTGGAGGATGACAAGAGAAGGCCTCCATATGGCATATAATCCAATCCCTATATTTTCACCCTAGAATCACCTTAGACCTATCTCCTTGTTGAAACATCTCTTCCCCAGAGTTTCTGCCATTTGAATAATCACTGTTAAGAAGTCAGAGAAGCTACTAGGAAGGTGCAGAATTCCAACTAAGGAACACAAAAAAGTGTGAATATATATTTCCTTCCTCACAATCCTTAATCCTGTTAAAGTCAATACTAAATGCAAGCCGCAAAAATGTCTACATTTTTTTAAATGCCAAGTTGCTTTTTTTTAATAAAAAGTTTAAAAGGAAAAAAAAAAAAAAAGCATGTTCAGCACTACTGTGCCTACACAGGGATATCCCCTCCATTGTATGGGACACAAAGACACACACCAACTGTGAACAAGGGAAGCAGCCTTCTCTGTCAGCTATTTTTGGCCTCACTTCGTCATATCAAGACCAAACGTAGGATAATAATGCACAGTGAACTTTAAAACATGAATTTGAGGAAACAAATCTGTCCTTCTATTTATAAATTCCTTAACAATGAAATTATTATTAAGTATACTCTTCTGAACTTAATCTCAAGGGACCTATATACCCTATTTAAAAAAAAAAAAAAATTTTAGCTTGTTTCAAAAATACAGAATAATATACCCTGGGACTAAACTGGTGGCCATGTTTAAAGCCTGCTCATTCCTTTTTAACTTCAACTCTTATCCACTTCTAAAACATCTATTTTAGGTAGTGTCTCATTCATTCAGATTTTCCCCCTAACTAAAAATACCCACTTTTCAGCTCTTCACTTTCCATCAGTACTCTGGGAAACCTAAATACTTTGAAAATAATTCCAACTTTACATTTTCAGTATATTACCTGCTAAACTATTTTGCTGTTTTGAAACTGCACCAGTATCCAATTGTTGCCCTAAAATTTCACATCCAAAGCAAAGTCTACTGTCCCATTTCTAAACTCTTTTTTGTAAGAAGCCACTTTCAACACACTAAGCATCTTCTTTTTCACTCCTCCTTCTGTATAGCCCTGGATAGCCACGATATAATAAAAATGTTGGTTCCCTAGAAAAACAAAATCCTAATCCAGGCATACAGCTTTTACCTAAAATGTAATTTCTCCCCAGTCATCTGAAATTACTCTCAGGAACACTCTTCTCAGTTGCTTCTTTGAACTGTAATCATGTGTCTACACAAACACAACTGACCCTAACACTACTCAACAACCTCTATCTGTATTCCCTTCAAACCAGCTTCGTAATTTTATCTGTCCCTTATGCCTTTCAATTCCAAAAGTCTTAAATATTGTGTCTCCACTTGCTCTTTTCTTCCTAAAAGAAACCTTCCCAGATTTGGCTTCAATACTTCAATTAGTTCTATATGTACACGTCCAAAAGCAACATTTCCCTAGTGAAAAATGTAAAAATATATTCACATCTATAAGTTGACAATATCTAACATCCAGTGCGGTCTTAGATAAATATTGGTCTATCCCCCCTCTCCTATAGCTTTGTGCAATTTGTGTTTGATTGTCTCCACCACCTACAAGTAAAAGCATCTCAAAGGCAGGGACCCCAAAAACTTTGTCATTTCTACCCAAACGTGCAATAAAACATTACCATAATTTTTTGGCAGGACGCGGTGTCTCAACGCCTGTAATCCCAGCACTTTGGGAGGCCGAGGTGGGCAGATCATTTGAGGTCAGGAGTTCTAGACCAGCCTGACCCACATGGTGAAACCCCATCTCTACTAAAAATACAAAAAAAATTAGCCAGGCGTGGTAGCACATGCCTGTAGTCCCAGCTATTTGGGAGGCTGAGGCATGAGAATCGCTTGAACCTGGGAGGCGGAGGTTGCAGTGAGCCAAGATCGCTCCATTGCACTCCAGCCTGGGTGACAGAGCAAGACTCTGTCTCAAAAAAAAAAAAAATACCGTAATTTTTAACCAATCCATAAGCAATAAAAGTAGGTCCTAAAGTTAGTAAGCAACTTTGACAGAGTGCAACCTACATTCAAACTATAGTTTGTTTCTTAGTTTGTCCTCCCCTCCTTCCCAAAATACAGCTTCTACTGTATTTTGGGTACAGTATTTTAGAAAATGACTACATTTCTCTTTGCAATATCTTAGTGAAAAACAGAATACGTGACTCTGATTCTAACATTACATCCACTATTCAGTATTTTCATGTCAGTACACATTTAAAGGACAGAATTTAAAGTTCCTTACCAAAGCATAACAAGGCAACTAAAGAAAAACAATTCAGTGGGAGAAGTTCCAGAGGAGGGAAAAGTGGTCAAATGAAAGACATTATTCTAAGACAACAGTTGGAGAAACTGATGGTAGAAATAATGAAAGTCCATAAAATTAAGAAAAGATGAACTGAGGCTTGTCCTGATAATTCTTGAAACACAAACTCTGACTGTGTCCTGAAAGTTTAGGGACACAGGTATGGAATATGTAAATGAACTGTCACATAATACACAGGCTAATAAACTTGCAGAACTCATTACTTTAAAAAAAAGGACCAAACATTGTTAAGTTTGAGAAAGTTTTAAATTAATCTAATCAAGATCCTGAATGGAGAACTTCGAAAAGAGAGATAACCCCAGGCTTACATTCATTCCCACAAAGTATCTCTCAGCAGTGGCTTCAGACAGAACGAGCCCACAGTTGTCTAGACGGACCACAATTCTCAGTATACTACTGTCTATGTCTTCTTACATAAAATTCTGCTCTATGTTTAACCCTTAAGGTCTGTATATGAAATATTAATTACTTTCATAAACCTTTAATTTGGTACTCTGACAAGATACCTAAAATACAAGTCAAAGGTTTTATAAACTTCAGCTTTAAAATAATGGAAGGAAAAAATCATTCCTGACTTAAATATCAAAGATGTATCCTAAATTGATACAGAAATAAAGATAATTCAAAAAAGCAAAGCCTCAAACCAAATAAAAAAGTGCTGTAATTTGTTACTCTAAAAAAAAAAAGGGGGGGGTGAAAGGGAAAAAATCACAACTTTTATAAAATGATTAATGTGATAAATGCTCTTCCCCAAGTAAGTTGTGATTCCTAACAACTCAAGTTCCTGAGTAACTGACATCTGTTACAGTGTCCTCCTGACACACATGAAATTGGACCCAGTAACTGAGAAGGTTAACTCCTGTACCAATAGGTACTGAAATGAACCTCTCTCAAAACAGGTTTGTTGTTGTTTTTTAAAAAAGGAATTTTACTTTCAGGGGTCCACAGGTTAAGTAGTTCTCATTCGGGAACCTATATGAGAGTACCCCCGAAACAAAAAGTACACCGCACACACCCACAGTACCAGGAAAAGGTTACAGATACAGATGGCCTCTGTGCGCACATATGCTCTGGCTTCCTCAATTTCCCTTTGCCAACTGCTGGCCAGAAAGGTGCGAGTATTCACTTTGGAGAAAAGACTCCTCCGACAGAAACCTGCATACTTGCATTACTCGTACAAAGAGCTAAAAAGTTACAAAATACAGGCCTCCCTAACACCTTCCCCCCTCCGTGAATAAAGCTAGACTCCCTCATTGATAGACTCCCAACACTACTGGAGAACATCAGCAAAACTCCAGGAGGAAGCGCCGGCATCCTCCCACTTTCTCCCCCTCAATTCCCTCTCCCGGGGCCACTCACACTTTTAGAAAAGAGCCGCGGCGCCGAGAAAGTGGGTTGGTTCCCTTCCTCCTTCGGACTGAAGCGGCAGCTGCGGAAGGCTCCGGCGCGGTACTGAGGAAGAAGCGGTGCTCGTGTCGCTAAACCAGGCGGCAACCCGGGTCTCTTCCGCGCTGCCAGGGGAGGGGAGGCGGCGGCCCCGCTTACCTCCTCTTTTCCTCTTCCTGGGTCTTTTCAGGCTGCGGCTTCTGCCCGTCCAGGGCCACTTCTCCCGGGACAGTCAGGTTTGGGAGACTCCGGATTTTGTTTTTGTAAAGTTTCCTCTGGGTGGAGGCTGCGGCCGGCCCCCCGGGTCCCCCCCGGCCCCGCCGCCCTCGGGACTGGGGCGGGGGAGGGGGGCTCTAGGAACTCCTCCCGGAGTCCAGCCAAGGAGCCGGGGGGCCGGCGACTGGCCAAGGGAGAAGACCCCCGGAGGGGGCTGAGGGGAGGGGGAAGGTGAGGAAAGGACGGCGGCGTCGGTCCTGTTCTCTCCGCCGCCCCAGCCGCCGCTTCACATCGGGGTCCCCGCCCCCCCGGCCGGGGGGTGGTTGCCGAGCTTGGTTGGGGCCCCGGTTCATACACTCCGGGGCAAGATGCTACGGCCCCGGGCGGGTGGCCGAGTCGGCGGCAAGGCGAGGGACCCGGCCGGCTCCGCTCGGCGCCGCCCCCGCTCCCGGCTCCCGCATGTGTCGCTGCGGCTGGGACCCCCCTCCCTACACCTTGGGGGTCTCGCCCCACGCCCCACGGGACGAGGCAGAAGCTCTGGCGCCTCCTCAGCGTTCTCTCACCGCGGAGCAGCTACCCACTCCCGGCCCGTGGTAGCCGCCTCCCTGCCCCCCAAGCCGCCGGCTCCGGCTCAGGCTCGGGCTCCGGCTCTGGCTCCGGCTCCGGCGTGTGCAGCCGCCGCTGCCGGCCGGGAAGGTGAGGGGGGGAAAGGAGTGCGGCCGCGGCTCCCGCTGGCCCAGGTGAGAGCGAAGGTCTCGGCGGCGGCCAGTGCAGGGGGACTGGATCTCTCGGATGCTCCTTCGCTCTCAGTCTCAGCGGCGGCGGCGGCGGCAGCGGCAGCGGCAGCGCCCGGAGCTCAGCTCGCTGTCTCCCTCGCTCTGTGCGGGGCTCTCGCCTCACTCCAGAGAGAGGGGCGGGAGGAGAGCGGCGCCTGCCGATGACGCAAGTCACCTAGCAACCGCTCTCTTCCCCCTCCCTCTTCTTTCCGCTCTGAGGCTTCCTCCGCTGGCCTTTTTCCCCCTTCCAGCCACCCCGCCCTGGGCGCCTCTGGCGCGCTCTGATGACGCTCCAAGGGAAGAGGAAGTGGGGATCGGCGAGCGGGTGGGTGCGCCTCGGGCCGCGGGACTCGCAGCCGCCACCGCCGCTGCCGCCTCTACGGCCGCGTCAGAACTGAAGAGAGGAAGGGGAGGAGCCGAGTCGAGCCTAAGCTGCCGCCCGATCTTACCCCTGACCCGAGGGCGGCCTGGAGAGCTTGGTCTGTAGCGGTTTCCTTCGGGGCAGGTGGGGACTGCTCCTTTGGGAGGAAGGAGGAGGCCCAGGCCGCGTCTTCAGGCAGCTGCGCGCACCACCCGAAGGTGAGGCATTTGGCCCCAAACAGACCCTCGAAAAGCCGGACTGATCGAGGAGTTACCCTACAGCCTGATCTGCACCTGCTCCAGGGAGAGAGCGCCCCACCCTTCCCGTGGCGTGGGGTGAGACCCAGCGTTGGATAACGTGTGGTCGGGCCGAGCAAATGTTTGATGAATGAATGAATGAATGAATGCCTCTCTCACGTGGCACTCGTGAAGCTCAGAGGATATGGTGGAAGTGCAAGCGCTTTGTAAACTGCAGTGCATTGTAAAAATGAGTTGTAATACATTCCTCCCCTCCCCCTAGCCATGAAAGGAAACAGGGGTGCGGCTTGAGTACAGAGTCACAACCTGAGTCTTTAGTGGAAAAGGAGACGAAATGCCGAGCAAGGGAAGGGACCCATCCTCGCGCAGATTGTTAGGGCGGCGGGAAGGGAGGATTGGAAGGGAGCCATCCTCTGGGAGATTGCTGAAGGATTTTTGACTGTCAGGGGAAGAATTTAATAGTCCCTCACTTTTACGAATGGTTCTTTCTTACGGTTTGGAGCTTTCGAGAGCTTCTGGTCTTGGTTCATCAGTGTACGTTGTCATCAAGAAATGTTGGCCTGTTTCAGGTCTGACTCAAAGGTTATTTTCTTTCTAAAATAAGTGTTATTACTATTATGCAGCTTTTCCTACAGATGTTATCCTGGAAAGGAAAGTTAAGTAGAAACTCATGAAGTTTAAAGTGTAGTTCTCTAGGAAAACAAATTTAAGATAAAAGGACCAGAATCCTCAGAAATCTGTCTTCAGTGAATAGTATGAGAAAAAGATTAAAGCAGCAGCAATGATGAAAGCAGATTCCACAATTCTGTCCCTGGACCCTAGTACACTCTACCTCCTTGGGAAGCAGTAGTAATGGATTTTACAAGTCTTTCCACCTGGAGGAGGGGGTAAGGTAGGAGCAAGTGTATTATAGACAAATGTGGGAAGCTCTGGGTTTCTCCCACTACTGCCACTACCATCTGCAAACAGTAAACTAAGGAAACTTTTAACTGGGTAAATCCAAGGGCTCGTGTTCATTAAAATGCTGCGGGAAAGGTGGTGAGAGGGGCAAAGGAGGATGTGGCAAAACCAAGGAGAGACTCACAGACTAGCACCTGACCCTACTGCCCTTGACCTGAAGTTCCAAGAGCCAGGTTAAATATCCTGCTTAAATTACCCTGGATTTTTCTGTCTTTACGTGACCAATCCCCTGCTACAGCCTTCCAAATAAGACTCACAGGTAATCAGACCAACAAGTGATGGTCTCACATGGCTACAAAATAAATATTTTTTGTTTTTCCCCCTCTTCCTATCTTACAACAGGGGAATGGTGGAAATTAAAGGAGTAAAACACACAGATTTAGGGGATTTTGTGAAGCTAAACACCTCAGAGAGTTTAACCTTTGTAGGCTTTGAAGGAAAAGAGTGCAAACATCAGAGTTCTGCAGCCCAGCAGAGAACACCTCCAGTTAAGTGTGTACCACATAGGGTTTTTCAGCAGCGTGATCTTCTGTTTTCATTGTCAGTGGCTCCACCTTACAACCTCAGTGCTGAGGAACAGAAGGGCACTCAGGAGAGCCTGAGCCACTTACTTAGAAAGTATTTAATAACAGCACACTAAGCTTACTGGGCTAGATACCCACCTCAGCACCCAGCTTGATAACAGGAGGAAACAGCTGGAACTGGAGACTGGAGAGAAGGAAGTTCATACATTTCCAACTTGGTCTGCATCTCTTTAGTTCCTTGTATTGCTTATTAATCCAGAGGAGAAAACAGCTAGTTAATTAAAAATTCCAAAAAATCTGAAGTTTTAGCTAATAGTTACTTCCCTGGTTCATCAATTTAAGATAAGGATCTAAATACTGTGTTAAAATATAGAAAAACGGAGACTCTTATAAGGTTTTTGACCTCTACACTTGAAAGTGAGCTCTTACAAGAAACTAATCAGTGTTTCGTTATTCCATATCAGTGGCTTTTACTGTCAAAGATTGTGTAAGCTAAATTATCTGGCAAAATTTTGCTTTCCAGAAATACTATCTATATTAATTTTAACATTTTTATTGTGAAATATAGTTTAAATACATAAAGCAATTATATAGTATAAGTGATTATAAAGGAAACCACCATGTAACCAATCAACCAGGTCAAGAAATGGAATATTTCCAGCAACTCAGAAGTTCCCCTCCCTGCCATGACCTTCCCGAACACAACTCTTTCCCTCCCTCCTAAGTGTAGTCATTATTCTAACATTTGTGATAATCATTTCCCTGCTTTTCTTTGTCGCTTTGTCGCAAGCATGCATCCCTAAACAATATATTGTTTAGTCTCACTCTTTCTTTTGAACTTTATGTAACTGGAACAATATAATATGTAATCTGTTGTTCTTGCTGCTTTTGCTCAACATTGTTTTTAATTCATATGTTGTTCAGGTTGTTCCTATAGCTGTAATTTGTGCATTTTCATTGCTGCATATTACAGTGTCCCATTATAACAATATGTGACAATATGTTTAGCCATTCTATTGCTGATGGACATCTGGGTTGTTTCCAGTTTAGGATTGTTATAAATGCTAATGTGAACATTCTTCATATATGTATTCCATCACATCTACGTCAGTTTCTGTATAACATATACCTGGGAGTGTAATATGTATCATAAACTTGAATAAATAATGCCAAGTTCTTTTCTAGAGGGTTACACAGTCACACTAGGTATATATGAGTCCCATTGCTCCACACCTTCACAACACTTGACATTATTGGTCTTTTTGGTTTTGCCAGTCTGGTGGGTGTATGGTAATATATCATTGTGGTTTTAACTGTCATTTCTCTGATTACTGATGCTGTTGAGGACCTTCTTGTATACAACTAGCTATTTGGATTTACATTTTTGTGGCGCGTTAGTATCTTTTCAATGTCTAAGTCTCTGAGATGCCCAACTTTTCAATATCCTTTCATAGTCCACATTTGAACAGGTAAAGTAATGTTATGGGATGTTTAGGGTGTCGCTTTTCTGGCCAGAAACCTCTGTAGCCTGTGGCGCCTTTGCACAAGTCTTGCTCAGGCCCACTGGGCTCATTCCACCTACTTGGCCTGGCAGGCTGTGCTCAGCTTATGCTACCGGCCTGGATCCCACACCTGCCAAGGGCAAGTACGGCGTGGAGTGGCAAGGCATGTGTGAGCGAGCGTGAGGTCTGGCTACTGCGCAGTCAGACACACCAGCTGCTGCAGTGGGGCGGGCAGCTCCAGATGCACCAGCTCTCTGCAAGGCTGTGGCTGGACCAGGCATACTGCAAGCAGCTTCCACAGCTGGCACCAGGGAACACATTGGCACCCGGAAGCTTGGAGACGCCAGGAACTGCAGGGACCCAAAGAGGGAGTCACAGTGTTGGCTTGGGGAGCTCCCAGGTCTGGGCTCCCCAAAAGGCCACAGCCCTTCCCTCCTCTTCACCCGCAACGTGGCAAGCAATGGGGATGTCTCAGCCCCATTTGTGTTATATCTCGTTTAGCCTCGCCATCTGGCAGGTCCCAAGTTCTTGTCCCGTGACCAGGAAGAATGAGGTACACAGACAAGTGGAGGGTGAGCAAGATGTTATTGAGTAATGGAACAGCTGAGAGGAGACCCACAGTGGATAGCTCCTTTCTGCAGCCAGGGTGTCCCAGTGAGTGTTCAGCTGCTAGCAGGGAGGGCAGCTCCTTTCTGCTAGGCAGGTTGTCCTGATGAGTTTTCAGCTCTCAGCAGAGAGGAGAGCTCCTCTATGCAGGAAGGTTGTCCCAACAAGTGTTCAGTTCTCAGCAGGGAGGATAGCTACTCTCTGCACCTGGTCATCCTAACAAGTATTCAGCTAGCGGCAAAGAAGGTAGCTCCTCTCTGCAGCTGGTCATCCATCGCCTGCTCAGTTCTGACTGAGCCCCGGGCCTCAGGGGAGGAAGTGCATGCTGATTGGTCCTTGGGCAGGCCTAGGAAAAAGCACCATAAGTTCCCCCTCTAGTGTGCAGGATGGGCAGTCCAATCCCCAGGCTTCAGGCCTTCCCCAGCCTAAAGGTGGGACTTCACTGGGAACCCGCTCCTTTCCACACTGGAGCCTGTCTGCCTCCTACCACTTTTCATGGCACCCAGGCTATTTCTGCAGAGGGGCGCCTGTGGGGCCAGCACAGGGCTACCCTCAGCCCTGCCAACCCTTGCCTCCCTCCCATGCTTGTCAGCGCCCAACATCTAGAGGGGGCGGAAGCAGCAGTGGGCTAGCATGTCAGTACTGCCGCAAGCCTGCACATACCCAGCCGGGCTGTGACAGTGCCCAGGCTTGACCCCAACCCCATTCTGAGATCAGAGCAGGTGCTAGGAGCAGGGAGAGGCCAAGCAGTGGGAACAGACACCCAGGGCCTGCAAGGGCAAGGGGGCCTTCCCGTCCCCCAGAGGGTGCAGAGTGCGGAGATGCCCTGGTCCTGCACCTGGGAGGGTAGGGCTGCCGCCTGCTGCATGGAGTGTGCAGGCAGCCCCAGCTGCGCCTGTTTGCAACCCAGCGCGGGGACTCCAGGTCCTTGCTGGGCCCTCCTCTGCCCACCTCTCCGTGCCCGACCATGCTGCTCCCCTGCTGGCAAGCAGCTCAGCGCTGCCCCATCACAGCAGCCCCCAGGGCAGTGGGCTCTGGGGACTGTCCGCCTCCTCCCCACGTGCTCCCCACAGTGGCAGTGGGTGATCGCAGTGATTCAGGGTCAAGGTCTGGAGCAGTGGAGGCTCCAGTACTGGGAACGGGTCCTGCCTGGCCATATGAGGATGGGTACGGGGGGCAGCACAGTTGTCCACCTCGGGAACGCGGGGCACAAAGGTCCCACAACTGCCACTGCCACTCCCACAGCCACTCCTGCCACCACCGCTCACACATCCACGCTGCAGCCAGCATGATGGCAGTGGCTGCTCCGGACAGCCTGCCACTGCCATCAGTAATGCCACCACTTGAGTTATATTTGGGACAAGTTCCTTCCAAAATAAGAATAATTATAGGTTACCTAGTTTTTTTTTTATTAATTTGATTATAAACTTTTTTTTTAGACAGGGTTTCACTGTGTCACAAAGGCTGGAGTACAGCGGTTAAATCATAGCTCATTGAAGTCGTGAACTCCTGGACTCAAGCGTTCCTCCTGCCTCCGCTTCTCAAGCAGCTAGGACTATAGGCACTTGCCACCACCCAGCGAATTTTTTTATTGTTTATAGAGACGGGGTCTCACTGTGTTGCCCAGGCTGGTCTCAAACGCCAGGACTCAAGCAATCCTCCAGCCTCAGCCTCAGGTGTGAGCCACCATGCCCACCCTATAAACTTTTTTTTCTTTACTTTTTTCTTTTTCTTTTTTTTTTTTTTTTTTTGAGACAAAGTCTCACTCTATCACCCAGGGTGGAGTGCATTGATGTGAACACAGCCCACTGCAGCCTCAACCTGGGCTCAATGGATTCTCCTGCCTCAGCTTCCTGAGGCCACAGGGATGCACCACCACACCCAGCTAATAAACTTCTTAAAAGTAGGCCTATAGGGCTTTTTTTTTCTTTACTATCCAAAATCATGCAATTTTTCAACTATTGGGCTATTGCCAGCAATCCCTCATGGTGGTTTTTATTTTTGTTGTATTTTAGTTTCCTCTGAGAATATAAAGGCAATTTTAATTCTCTTGAATCTGTGTAACTAAACTTGGTTTTTGTTGCTTTGTATTTTTCTCAAGACAATCGTGTAAAAAGTTGTTTTCCCTGCACATATTTTTTTCATTTCCCAGGTTCATTGATTTTTTAAAAGTCACAGTGGCTTTTTCTTTCCTCCTAACATTCCTGCTACAATTTATGGATTTTTTTTTTAATTTCACTCATTTACATCAAATACACAACATTGGTGTCACTGCCTGGCATATTTTCCCAACATACTACATTTTATTATTTTCATTAATTTCTTATCTCTCAGTTCTTTGTTTAGAATCAGTGATATTTTAAAACTGGAGGAAGGTGAGACCCAGAGAAATTGACTTAGCCAGAGTCAGGAGGGCAAGTAAATGTGAAGCCCGGACTCCACCCCAAGTCTTCAAATAACAGTATGCTTGCCATTATATCACACTGACTCTGTCTTCTGGAACAATAAGGTAAATTAATTCCCAAGGTCTGTAGAATATTGTTCATTTCCACATGGCAGACCTCTTATTCTACAATTGAATAAGGTTTATTTTAAGCCTAACAGCTTTAGGATCAGATTAATATTGATACTAATAGAAATAATTTTTTAAAAAATTAAAGATTAGGCTGGACGCAGTGGCTCAAGTCTGTAATCCCAGCACTTTGGGAGGCCGAAGCAGGTAGATCACCTGAGGTCAGGAGTTCGAGACCAGCCTGACCAAAATGGAGAAACCATCTCTCTACTAAAAGTACAAAATTTGCCGGGCATGGTGGCGCATGCCTGTAATCCTAGCTACTCGAGAGGCTGAGGCAAGAGAATCGCTTGAACCCGGAAGGCAGAGGTTACGGTGAGCCGAGATCGTGCCATTGTACTGCAGCCTGGGCAACAAGAGTGAAACTCTGTCTCAAAAAAAATAAATAAGTAAAATAAAGATTAATATAAATAGTAGCACTAAAAATGGATTAAATGGAAGAAAACTTGCTTTAAAAAAAATAAAGTTTCTCCACTCTCCCCTTCATCCCTTATGGCCAATCTGTCACTGGTCCCTATTGCTTCTTCAAAGAATCGCCATACTTCCTTAATAACTGAGAAAAGAGTTTTACCAAATAAAAGTGTCAAATGTTGCAGGAATGCCATTGGATTTGGTAATGAGTTTCTTAATAATTTCATAGTACTGTAAAAATGTTGGAGGCGCTCAGAATTTAATGATATTTTAAAATACAAGAACAGGCCAGGCACAGTGGCTTATGCCTGTAATCCCAGCACTTTGGGAGGCCGAGGCAGGCAGATCACTTGAGGTCAGGAGTTTGAAACTAGCCTGGCCAAAATTGTGAAACCCTGTCTCTACTAAAAATACAAAAATTAGGTGGGTGTGGTGGCTTGCGCCTGTAATCCCAGCTACTCGGGAGGCTAAGGTATGAGAATTGCTTGAACCCAGGAGGCAGAGTTTGCAGTGAGCCAAGATGGTGCCAGGGCACTCCAGCCTGGGCGACAGAGTGAGACTTTGTCATAAAATAATAAAATAAATAAAATAAAATAATTAAAATACAAATCAACCTGGAAAACTTACAGACTAATGATGAGATTTCCCCTGCGTTACCTTTCTGATCATCTGGGTTTACAAAAAGATTAATTCTGAAGATTAATGATAGATGACTACTGGTTTTAATAGAAAATAAAATAACTATGAATCATTTATAATCATTGAAAATGTAACCTTTAGCTTTAGAGGAATCCTTCAGGATACAAGCCAGTTGGTTTTGTCATAAATAGTCATGAAATATTTTATCAATAAAATCCAGCTATTTTTAAAATTAAAAATTGAGTAAAACAGGATTAAAAATAACTTTATAAAAATATTAAGGTAGGCTTAAATGTAACTAAACTTGTAGAGCAAAGCCTTTAAAATGTTCTGGCTTGAAATTCAAAGTTAAATTATTGAATTAACACTAGGGAGTTCCCAAAGGGACCAGCTTTATAAATATTATTAGTATATTTTTTGTTTTAACTTCCAAAAGGCAGTATTGAGTCAATAAAATTTTACTGTCACTTACTATTTTCTAGCACTAGAGCAACGTGCTGAACATACAGTGATGAGAAGAGGAAAAAAAAGACCTTGTCCCTCCCTTCATGGAGCATACAGTCTGATACCTAGAATGTGCCAGACTCAGTGCTTGACCCCAGCCACTACCATCTAAAATTATTTTATCTAGGCTGGCCACGGTGACTCACGCCTGTAATCCCAGCACTTTGGGAGGCAAGGCAGGTGGATCACTTGACCTCAGGAGTTCGAGACCAGCCTGGCCAACATAGCGAAACCCCCTCTCTACTAAAAATACAAAAATTAGCTGGGTGTGGTGGCGCATGCCTGTAATCCCAGCTACTCGGGAGGCTGATGGAGGAGAATCACTTGAACCCAGAAGGCGGAAGTTGCAATGAGCCAAGATCACGCCATTGCACTCTAGCCTGGGCAACAAGAGCGAAACTCCATCTCAAAAAAATTAAAATAAAATTATTTGATCTATATTTCCTGAGGATGTGGTCTACAAATAAATGAGTCACTGCTTGCATTCTCAGGATAAACAAATGGTATTCTAGAAACCTTCAATCCTATTTGTCATTTTTCAAATTTTCATTATGGCCGTTTTTAAAAATACAGAAACATGGCCTGGCATGGCGACTCACGCCTGTAATCCCAGCACTTTGGGAGGCCAAGGCAGGTGGATTGATTGAGCCCAGGAATTCGAGACCAGCCTGGGCAAATTGGTGAAACCCCATCTCTACAAAAAATACAAAAATTAGCTGGGTGTGGTGGCATACACCTGTAGTCCCAGCCACTCAAGAGGCTGAGGTAGGAGGATTACCTGACCCAGGGAGGTTGAGGCTGCAGTGAGCTGTGATCATGCCACTGCACTCCAGCCTGGGCAACAGAATGAGATCCTGTCTCAAAAAAAAAAAAAAATACAGAAACATTGAACATTACAATATATAATACAACATAATGCTCATAATACCATCATATGCCCAGGCTATTTCTCTTCCTTTGCCATCTTTATTGCCATCTATGTCATGTTGACTTTTATCATAAAACCCATTCCCTGATGACTCACAAATAAGCTGCAGATCCTCCGGAATCACATCCACACTGATTATTTTCCCAATATTCCCAGCACAATTCTGTTTAGCTCTCCTTGATAGAGTGGTGTCTTAAGGCCATACCCAGCTCTAAAGAAGGCTGAGAAGGCCCCGAGCATTGTTGCCCAAAGTGAGGTTTAAGGTCTGTTAATAAGGAAAGCAGAAAGAATAGTTATAGGGTAGAAAATTACCAGTGTCTGACACACTCTTAAAGATGTTTTTATTAAACAAAGGGACCATCTATCCCAGAGATGAAATGCCACTTTCTAAACCCCAGAGGTAACTGCCATTGGTTTTTCTTTTAAATGGCAATTTCCCCCCCAATGCTTTGCATACAAGTATCAGCAATATGTTGAGTCTCCTTTTTGGCTTCTTATAGTTTAAAAATTCTAGCAATTTAATTTCAGGAGCATTCTTTAATGTATGAGTTTGTGGTCTCCAGATAGTTGGCTTTGTGTCCTGTACATCATAATTGCAAAACACATTTTGTTGTGCGTGCGTGTGTGTGTGTGTGTGTGTGTGTGTGTGTGTGTGTGTGTGTGATGGAGTCTCACTCTGTCACCCAGGCTGGAGTACAGTGGCGCGACCTCAGCTCACTGCAACCTTCACCTCCCGAGTTCAAGCGATTCTCCTGCCTCAGCCTCCCAAGTAGCTGGGACTACAGGCACGTGCCACCACGCCTGTCTAATTTTTGTATTTTTAGTAAAGATGGGGTTTCACCATGTTGGCCAGGCTAGCGTCGAATTCCTGATGGGTGATCCGCCTGCCTCGGCCTCCCAAAGTGCTGGGATTACAGGCATGAGCCACTGCGCCTGGCCAAAACACATTTTATTAGTGGTATTTTCAACTCTTTTTTTTAGGCCCATATTTAAGAATGATTATCATTTCCTTTTAAAACCAAAACTAAACATTATGTTTATTTATTTTAAAACAATCTGAAACCTACAGAAAAGTTGCAAGTCCACTACAAATCACTCTTTTATATTGAGCCATTTGGGCGTCAGTTGCTAACCTGATGCCCTATATGTGGGACATTCTCCAACAGAAACACAGTACAACAATTAAAATTGATTTTTTAGGCCGGGAATGGTGGCTCAAGCCTGCAATCCCAGCACTTTGGGAGACAAAGGTGGAGGACCATTTGATGCGAGGAGTTCAAGACCAGCCTTGCCAATATGCAAAACCCCATCCCTACTAAAAATACAAAAATTAGCCAGGCATGGTGGTAAACGCCTATAATCCCAGCTACTCAGGAGGCTGAGGCAGGAGAATCGCTTGAACCTGGGAGGCAGAGGTTGCAGTGAGCTGAGATCATGCCACTGCACTGTAGCCTGGGAGGCAGAGGTTGCAGTGAGCTGAGATCACGCCACTGCACTGTAGCCTGGGAGACAGAGCTACAGTCTGTCTCAAAAAAAAAAAAAAAAAAGTAAAAATTGATTTTGTAATCCATTTAAATTGATTTAAATTTTAATCCATTTTTAATTATCAGTTGACCTTGATAATTAATAATGTCTAATCCTGAAATCCCATCATTTGATCAATTATCCCGGTAACATTCCTTATAGCAAAAATAATGGATCCAGTTTAGAATATGTGTTGCATTTAATTGTCACATGTCTTTGGTGTCCTTTCTCTGAAACGTTTCCTCAGCTTTTCTTTTATTTCCATGACCTCAGTACTTTTGAAGATTACAGCTAATTATTGTGGAATATCACTCAGTTTCAACATGTTTGCTTTTAGCAGGAGCATCACTAAATTGATGATATTCATCACTTTATGTTCTTACTGCGTCTCATCAGATGACGCTCAATTTTAATTCCTTCTGTTACTCATGACATTCACTTTAATCACTTGATTAAAATGGTATCTGCCAGGCTTCTCCACAATGAAGTTACTATTTTGTCCATATAGAATTAATAAATATTTTGTGTGGAGATAAGATCTAGATAAATATTCAATTCCTCATCAAACTTCCATTTTATTGTTTTATTTCTATTAGGCTCATGGCTTCCTATTTTGTTAAATGGATTATAACCTGTTACTATTATTATTTATTTATTTTGATGCTTAAATTGTTCCCATATTTGGCTAATGGGAGTCCCTTTAAATTGGTGTCTGTGTCATTTTGTCCCATCATTCCTTGATTATTTACTTTTTTTCTTGCACAAAAAAGTGTTCTGGCTCATCTTATACCTTTCCTGACCCAGTATTGGAATCAGTTATTTCTCCAAGGGGTAAAGTTGCTAAATAAAATACAGCGTAGTCAGTTAAATTTGAATTTCAGGCAAATATATATTGCATGTATGTCCCATGCAATAATATCTTCTTTGCTAAATATTTACTGTATTTTCATTTGCCAAATCTGGCACCCTACCAAGGAGCCCTGATTCCTTTAAGTGGTAAATGGTATTTGGA
The DNA here is from genome assembly GCF_000001405.40 of Homo sapiens. NCBI lineage: Eukaryota > Metazoa > Chordata > Mammalia > Primates > Hominidae > Homo > Homo sapiens. Next base: position 152,547,760 of record NC_000004.12, read on the forward strand.
TGCCACAATCTGGCCAGGAGTGATGGCTCATGCCTGTAATCCCAACACTTTGGGAGGCCAAGGCAGATGGATTGCTTGAGCCCAGGAGTTCAAGACCAGCCTGAACAACATGGCAAAACCCCCATCTCTACAAAAAAATACAGCGATCAGCTGGGCATGGTGGCATGTGCCTGTATTCCCAGCTACTCAGAAGGCTGAGGTTGGTAGAACACCTAAGCCCGGAAGATGGAGGCTGCAGTGAGCCATGATTGTGCCACTGCACTCCAGCCTAGGTGATGGGAGTGAGACTCTATCTCAAAAAAAAAAAAAAAAAAAAAAAAAAAAAAAAAACCACAACCAGAGCAGGTCTGTTGATTCCACTTTTGTTTCTCAGGCTCTCTCAGTGGACTCTCAGGCTCTCTCAGTGGACAGCTCTCAGGCTCTCTCAGTGGACAGCACTAGGGAACACACACACACTCACATACACATTTACCTCTATACATGACAACATTGACGTTGATGTAATATGGATACAGAAACATTGCATTCTATGAGTTCACACCGATATTCTAATTCTAATTCAATACCTCAGGGATTATTCCAACTTTCTCCCTTTCCATATTTATGACTCCTTTCAAAGTGAGAAACTGGACTCCCATGAGCCTTAATATATTTATTTGTTTGATCCATCCCCTGGTACATTAACCAAACTCGCATTACTGCCACTGCTCCCTCCCCAGTGTCGCTGTCCTCCTCAGTCTGTGCCCTGACCCTTGTGCCAGGCCATCCCCACATGTAGACACTCCCTTCACTCGACTTGTGCTCTGGTAGCTCACCCAGGACACCCCACAGTGTGGATGCCCTCTTTACCTTGCTTGAGATCTGGTACCCTGGGTCAGGTCACCCTACTGCATGGATCTCTACTCCCCTGCTCAGGCTCTGCCACCATATAGCAGTCTGTCCTCCACTCATAAGCCCTCCTTGTCCTGCTATGGAACTCACACCACCCAGATCCTTCCCCAGTGGGATATCCCTCAATATCAGTGTGTTTGTATTTAGCAGGAACATCACTAAAGTGATGCCATGGACACCCTCCTTACCTCGCTTTAAGCACAAAAATTTTATTTAAGTCACACTTAAGTTTGAACTATTATATTACTCATTACTAACAATACAAACTGAGGTTTTCAGTGTAAAAGAAAGTTTGGCAGAGGCAACTGGAAAAATAGTTATCCAATGATATTTTTATTCATTTAAATTGAGTTGATACTAACCAATATTTATTGACTAATAATAAAAAGAGAAGTCAAAATTTTAAATGTAAACTCTTGGCTATAAACCTGTATTTCCACTTCTTCCTAAAACCCCCTAAGATAACAGTAAAGGAATGAAAATGGTACAAAAAAATACAAAGAGAACAGAAGACATGATGGCAGCAGAAAAGAATTGTCAGGAAATTCTAGAAGATAGAAAGTACTTGAACAAGGAATGACTGACTTAGAGAAAAAAAAGCTAAAACCTATGTTCCTGCACCAGTGTCCAGCACTAACAGGCTGATCCTTGATGCAGAACCCCAGAAAAATGACAGAAATTGAAGTCACTAATTGCCTCTCAAGACACAGGGTAAAGCAGAAAGCAGGCTTTCTCTTAAGCATGAATGAGCAACTAAGGATCACCACATGTTTGAGGAAAGTCTAACGTAAAAGTTAAAAAGAAAATTAACCTGGAGAAAACTAAGACAAAATGGAAGTAAAAGTTATCAATATTGTGATAAAAGTATATTAAAATGAAGGGAGGGGGACAATGGGGGTATGCATGAGTTTTAAGATCATTAAAGACTCATCTTTAATTTTAGGAAATTAATAGGTGATGTCTTGATTTCAAAAATTATGACACATATGTATATGCATGTTAGTTAGATGCAAATACTAAAGGAAAAAACACCTAAAAGAGTGGAAAATGGTTGCTCTAAGGAAGCCATGGCAAATGAAGGGAAAGACAGGTGATACTTGGTTTTCTTTACTGTAAGAAAGTCTTATTTTCCCCTGTATTACTTTGATTAAAATAATTTAATTTAAAAAATCAAGTTCATACAGATTGATGCATCTTGATATAGCACAGTTTGACAAGAAGGAGACTGTAGTGGAAACAACGAGAATTTGGCACCTAGATTCAAATACCAATTCTGCCCATTTACTGTTCATGTAACTGTACAACAACCCTTGAGATTCAGTTTAGACATTTGTAAATTGGGGATAATTATACTTGCCCTACTGTATTAGCTTCCCAGGGCTGTTGTAACAAAATACCATGGGCTAAGTGGTTTAAAACAACAGAAATTTATTGTCTTACAGTTCTGGAGGCTGGAAGTCCAAGATCAAGGTGCTGGAAGGTTTGGTTTCTCTGAGGTCTCTCTCCTTGGCTTGCAGATGTCCACCTTCTCCCTGTCTTGAAATGGCCCTTAGTGTATATGTGTGTGCATTCCTGTTTCTTCCCTTTATAAAGATATCAGTCATCTTGGATTAGCCCCACCCCACGGCCTCATTTTAACTTAATCACCTCTTTACAGACCTTATCACTATATACAGTTACATTTTGAACAACTGGGGGTTAGCACTTCAACATATTAATTTTAGGAGAATTCAATTCAGCCCCTAACACCTACCTATTACATTCACTAATTCGCTTAGATTTATTGGTCTCCTTCCATGTTCCAACCTGTGCTAGGCACTGAGGATTGAAATTGAGAATCAGATGAGATAATGACATTTTGAAAACTGACTTAAAATACCAAAAAAAAAAAAAAAACCCACACATTAAAGTATAGCCCACCCACATAATGCTTTGCTTGCAGGAAATCATTAAATTGAATGAAGTTAAATGACGAAAATGAAAGCTTTCTAAAAGGGGGAAAAAATGGGAAGCATGGACAAAGTTATAGAATAGCAACTATTATTTTTAAGCGCCTGATAGGTGCCAGGCACTGACTATAAAACTTATGTAAATTGTCTCATTTAATCCTTACTATGACCCTGCTGGGTAACTATTACCAAAACCATTTTACTGGTGAGAAACCTATTACTAAGAGACTGTAACATCCCGGAAGTTATACAGCTTTGTGGCTTGAATTTGGATCTACTTAATGCCAAAGGAACTCATGTTCCTTTTACTACTCTCTACTGTGAGTCAAAAACATAGAGAACTATGGTTAGGCTCTACTTCTTACATTATTTTTTGTTAAATATTAAGTATGTTCAAAAAACCATTATTCATGTGTATGGAGAATAATAATAAACTGAACACCTGTGTACTCACCAGCTGGCTTGAGAAAGAGAATATTGCCAGTACCTTAGCAGTCCCTGCATACATCTCTCTAGCCCCATTTTCTTCCCTTTTTTCCCAGAAGTAACCATTATTCTAGTTTTGTGCTCACCCACCTGTGATACACACACACACACACACACACACACAAATTTTCATTTTCCATGTTTTTTTTCACAAATAGGACTTTTTATTTGCCATTTTAAATGTCTGAGTGTTAAACACACTCTTGGACTGGTGGTTCATATCCATCAGCTCATTCAACTTTAGAACCTGTCTCTTCTCCAGTAGCTTTTCCAGAACTGCTACCTTCGCCATGAAGCTCCATGAGATTTCCCAATTCAAACTTGGTCTTCTTCAGCATTTTTACTTTTCTAATGAAGACATCATTGAGAGAATAAATAGATTGGTAAGCCTTATCTATGTCTTTTCCAATGCTGTCTGGAATCAATTTATTGACCACTTCTTTCAAGTCATTTCTCTGTACCTCTCGGGTCATGATTTCCATCATCTTCTTCCAGATTTGGCAGACCTGTTTGTGCTGAGCATAAGAGGTCTTCCATATCTGATTGTTATGTTTTTTAGTAAAAGCAGTACAGAATAGACAAAGCAAGTAACCGTCAGTAGTCTTGACATCAACATGAGCTTCAATCATGTCTGCCATTTTTTGACCATGGAACACATTCTGCCACAGGTAAGATCCATGCTATGGAAGTTAGGCAGTTTTTCCTGGACACCTTAAGTAATCAGCTTGAATTTTCTAAATGCAACTTCATAATTTTGCAGATCAGCAAGACTCATTTCAAACACACGACCCTTGAGGCCATCTGATGCAATTTTGGTTCCTTCAGTGCTGGTGACTAGTGTCTTTCCAATATTTCTTATGTTGAACATAGCAGGTGCTTTCACATCATACCAGTCTTTCTTAGAAACTAGATCAACTAGGCCGGGCATGGTGGCTCATGCCTGTAATCCCAGCACTTTGGGAGGCCAAGGTGGGTGGATCACGAGGTCAAGAGATCGAGACCATCTAGGCCAACGTGGTGAAACCCCGTCTCTACTAAAAATACAAAAATTAGCTGGGCATGGTGGCGCTCACCTGTAGTCTCAGCTACTCGGGAGGCTGAGGCAGGAGAATCGCTTGAACCCGGAGGGCAGAGGTTGCAGTGTGCCAAGATCACGCCACTGTACTCCAGCCTGGTGACAGAGCAAGACTGCGTCTCAAAAATAAAAAAAAAGAAAATAGATCAACCACTTTCTTCTTGGTTCCCCTTTTGCTGCCTTTCGTGAGGCACTTGTTCTTGCTGCTCAGAGAGCCAAAAGGCATTTTGCATATTTTCAAAATCTGAATGACTCATGTGTTCTGCTGGGATTCACTTGTTTCCTACTCAATATTAGGTTCCTAACTTATTCAGGCTGATACACGTAACCATAATTATATTGCCAGGGCCTCTGATGGTCTAGTACCACCAACCTGGCCGCTAGAATTCTGTTATTCCCATTTACTCTGGGGCATTTCTTACCATCAATCTTGATCTAGAGGACAAGCAGTTCTGAGCTTCTCAGAATATACTAGCATATTGCTTATCACTTTAATAAGGGAGTGTCCTCTAGGACCTCCCAGGGAACATTGTTGGCTGGTGGGTTCTCTGGTGTTACATAGTAAATGCATTCTTGGCCAGGTGCCGTGGTTCACACCAGTAATCCCAGCTGAGGGATTGGGATTTGGGAGGCTGAGGTGGGTAGATTGCTTGAGCCCAGAAGTTCAAGACCAGTCTGAGCAACATGGCAAAACCCCATTTCTACAAAAAATACAAAACTTAGCTGGGCACGGTAGTGCATGCCTGTAGTCCCAACTGCTCAGAGGGCTGAGGTGGGAGGATCGCTTGAGCCCAGCAAGTCAAGACTGCAGTGAGCTGAGATTGTGCCACTGCACTCCAGCCTGGGTGACAGAGTGAAACCGTGTCTCAAAAAAAAAAAATGCATTCTTACTTCTAATCTCTTTGAACTTGCTGACCTCTTCTTCATCTCTCTTCTAAGAAGTTCCAGCATCTCCATCTGATCATTATTTTCAAGTTTCAAGGAGCTGTTTCTGCAATGTATTAGGTACAGTTCTGGGCATTCTACCAGGATAGTGAGTCCCGTGTCACTGAATAATACACCTGTATTAACAAACTGTCCACTATTCAGTCTTATATTCTGCCCTCCCTGATTTGGCACCTTTAAGATTCATTTCCAGGAGAGTTCTCCCACTTCCTGCTAGTACCTATTTGCCAGGTTTTGCAGTGCTTTTGGTGAATAACCCCTTTCTTCACATAACAGTATTTCCTCGCTTGGCTCATAATAAGATTTCTCATTATTGGTCTAGAAGAAATGAAGAGAGGTAGGGATGGATCTTAGAGACAAGCATCATCCTGCAAGGCATTTGCCCTTGCTACGTGAGGCCTTGGCATAGTCTCCGAGCACCAGAAGTCTGATTTCTCCTAGCAAGGAGAAAGGCTCCAGAGTATTCTCACTCTCAGTTTTAAGAGGAATCTGGGGTTTTAAGGTCCTTGAGCCCATCTACCCAAATATCTCCATCGGAACTCTCAGGGCCCCTCTCCTTTTTCAGGTCCCTTGCTTTAGCATTAGAAATTTGGGGGCTGGGCACAGTGGCTCATACCTGTAATCCAAACACTTTAGGAGGCTGAGGTGGGTGGACTGCTTGAGCCAGGAGTTGGAGACTAGCTTGGGAAACATGGTGAAACCTCGTCTCTATGAAAAAAAAAAAAAATCAGCTGAGCATGGTGGTGCATGCCTATAGTCCCAGCTACTTGGAGGCCTGAGGTGAGAGTAGATAGATCACTTGAGCCCAGGAGGTTGAGGCTGCAGTGAGGCATGTTCGCACCACTGCTCTCCAGCCTAGGTGGCAAAGTGAGACCCTGAAAAAAAAGAAAGAAAGAAAGAAAGAAAGAAAGAAAGAAAGAAAGAAAGAAAGAAAGAGAAAGAAAGAGAGCGAGAGAGAGAGAGAGAAAGAAAGAAAGAAAGAGAAAGAAAGAAAAAGAAAGAAAGAAGGAAAGAAAGAAGAAAAGAAAGAGAAAGAAAGAAAGCTGGTGGGCTGTGAACTCAGTCTCCTTTTTAGCTCTGTTGTATTTAAGATCAAACTTGGGGTCTTATTCTTCAGCTCATTCTACCCTCTGTCTACAGATGAGACTCCCTTTAAATGATGCCATGAAAGATTTCTGGCTTTTAACCCATGCTCTAAGTCAATGATTACCTCACCTGAGCCTGCTATTTCCTTCCTTTGTGGCTTCTCTAGCAGTTAACAACAAGCAACCAGCTCCACAGTTCTCATAATTATCATTGTCCCTGTATCTTTCAGTTCAAGAGCTACTCTATCAGCCAGTGCATTTCCCCGCCACCTACACACTACCGCAGTTAATCACAGGCAAGACTCTTAGTAATAGTGATGCTATAGCACTCCAGAGATCATCACTGCCCCACTTACTAACAGTGATGGGGTTTTTGTTGACCTGCTCTTTGTTGGCCAGCAAGTGACCCAATGCTAGAATCTCATTCTGAGGGTCTTCTGCCTTGGGCCATTCCTAAGACTTCCTGACTTAGGCTAGGTTCCTCCAAAACTAAGGATTTGAGTACAAGTGGTATGTTTGAAGTGTAAAATGTACCAGGAAGAACTAGTAGAGTAGTGAAGACTTGAGCCAGCAAAGGAAAGAGGCCAGCAGAATATTTAATCGCCAAGTTACCCACTGAGAACAATTGGGGCTCAGTCCCACCAAAAACCTCTGGGAGATGTGGAATACACATCAAAATTTTCCCACCCAGCGGGGGGCAGGAAAGCTGGGGTGTTTGTCTTTCAACTCCCATTTGCCCTTGGGTAAGAGCTGTTCCCCCAGCATGGACCTGCCACAGAGACAGAAAGAAGCCCTTGGGCCACAGGCAGAGAGTCACAGATGCTTCCAGTAACACTGGCTTATACTAGATCATCCCAAAGGACCTGGGGGATGTGGGCAGGGCACTGATGGCTGTCAGCTATACATGTTCCAATGACTTCCTGTCTAAAATAGCTTCATCACCTTTCCTCATCATTGCCCGTCCTCTTCAGCTGCTTTCTTTTACTTCTACCTGTCATTCTATTATATTTCTATTTCTTTTCTTTGTCTTTCTTTCTCTCTTTTTTTTTTTTTTTTTTTCTGAGACAGGGTCTGGCGCTGTTGCCCAGGCTGGAGCGCAGTGCAGTGGTGTGATCTTGGCTCACTGCAACATCTGCTTCCTGAGCTCAAGCAATCCTCCCACCTCAGCCTCCTGAGTAGCTGGAACCACAGGTGCGCACCACCATGCCTGGCTAATTTTTTGTATTTGTGGTAGAGACAAGGTTTCACCATGTTGCCCAGGCTGGTCTCAAACTCCTGACCTCAAGTAATCCACTTGCCTTGGCCTCCCAAAGAGCTGGGATTATAGGCGTGAGCCACCGCGCCTAGCCAATATTTATATTTATTTTCTTATCTGTCTCTCCACTTCCACTAGAATATAGGCCAGGGACTTCATCTGATTTATTTGCCACTATAATACATCCTTATACCCAGAACAGTGCCTAAGACATAGTATGGACACAAAAAAAATTTAGAACGAATGAGTGAATGAAAAAAAGTGATATTTGCAATATAGTTTGAAAACAGCCTCTGTGACTAGGAAGTTAGGAAGGAGAAGGAAATTATTAGAATTTGAGAAGAGAGGTTAATTGAGTGGAGCCATAAGAAGCAAATATGAATTTGTCAAGGGAATCAAACATGAAAAAGTTGTTCCATTCAAAAACTTTTCGGTTTCAATTGCCTAAGAAGAAAACAGCTAATGCATCGAGAAGAAATAACAGAATGTTTAAAATCAATCCTTTTTTAAAACAAACAAACAAACAAACAAACAATGGAATAATCAATTTAGGCAAGGATTACCAATGGACACTAAAACTGTTAGGAAAAAGTAAATGCCAAACAAGATATTCACTTGTGGTTAAAGCACAGCACACAGATTGCTTGCTAATTGCTAAGGAAAAAATATACCTTCATAGGAAAGAGATCTAGCAATCACCACCTTAAACACACAGTCAAATTTAGCATCACCCAGTGAAACAGCCTATTTACCTCCTCATGTGATACAATACGAAGGACCCAGCATGATCTAGGAAGTATTCTTGCCAAAAATAAATCAAGCCTTTAGGCCTAACTTCCAAAACATAGAGGTGTAAGTTAAACACCATCACAAGGAAATAATTAGACAAATCTTTTTGGTCTGGATTTTTTCACTTAGCGTAATTATTTTGAGTTGGTTTCTTTCCCTCCTGTATCAACGATTGTTTTTTTTTTAATTGCTGAGTTCCATTGTGTGGGTCTATCACAATTTGTTTTTCTGTTCACCTGTTGATGGATATTTGAGTTGTTTCCAGTTTGGGGCTATTACAAATAAAGCTACTAGGAACATTTGTGGACTCATGTTTGTTTCGACTTTCGCTTTCGTTTTTCTTGAGAGAAAAACCTAAGGGTTGAATGGCTGCATAAGTATTCATATACATTTACATTTGGCAGGTATGTATGTAATTTGTAAAGAAATGGTTCAACCATTCTTCAGAGTGTCATTTTACATGCCCACCAGCAGTACATGAGAATTCCACATTCTCATCAATGCTTAGTTTGGTCAGTCTTTTTACTATTATCCATTCTATCAGGCGTGTGATGGTATCTCCCTGTGGTTTTAATTTGTATTTTAATTTTATGAAGCCCAATTGATTGATTTTCTTTCTTTTATAGTCCAAGCTTTTTGTGTTATATTTAAGAAATCTTTGTCAAACCCCCAGTCACTGAGATTTTTCCCTCTGTTTTCTTCTAGAAATTTTATAGGTTTTTTTGTTTGTGTGTTTGTTTTGAGACACAGTCTTGCTCTGTCGCCCACGCTGGAGTGCAGTGGTACGATGTCAGCTCACTGCAACCTCTGCCTCTGAAGTTCAAGGGATTCTCCTGGCTCAGCCTCATGAGTAGCTGGGATTACAGGCATGAGCCACCAGGCCCAGCTAATTTTTTGTATTTTTAGCTTTTGCATGTAGGCCCTATGATCAAATTTAAGTTACTTTTTGCATATGATGTGAGGTGAAAGTCAAAGTTTATTACTTTTGTTTAGGGTATATGCTTACTCTAAATCAGGTGTGAAGTGCTGAGATTGAATATAGAGAAGATACCAGTGAGAAGTTAGACACTGATAGGAAAAGGACTTGGTGATTGATTACAGCCTACATTTTCCAGGACAGTCCCAATTTTTAATTTTCTGTCCTATTTTCCTCCCAACTTTTATTATTAAATAGTTCAAACATACAGAGAAGTTGAAATAGTCCTACTATGTAGGAAACCCATATTCCTACTATATAGATTCAACAGTTGTTAAAGTGTTTCCATATTGCTTTATTTAGATATTTTCCAGAACCATTTAAACATAAATTATAGCAACTGTGACACTTTACCCCTAAATGCTTCAAAATGCAACATTAGGCTAGGCTTCTACATAAAAAGTAATACAATTTTTACACCCAAGGAAATTAACAGTGATTCTTTATTGTCATTTTGTATTCAATCCTATTCAAATTTTCCCTAGTGGTATCTACAGTGTTTTCAAACCAGCATTCAATCAAGTTGCACTCACT